>NC_000015.10:22358242-22531968 GCF_000001405.40 Homo sapiens | reverse complement strand
AACACTACAGATGAAATAGAATGCTAAAAATGGTCAAGTAAACCACAGAGAGCCAGGAAGAACCAAACCGAAAAAATGAAAAACAGAAGAAATAGAAAATGCAAAACAAAATGGCAGTGTTAAGCCTCAATTTATCAATGACATTAAATTAAATGTAAACAATCTAAATACATCAATTAAAAGACACTAGGAGAGTAGACTAGAGAACATGATCCAACTATATGTTGTCCATAAGAAAGTGACTTCAAACAGGCAAACTGAAAATAGAAGTATAGAAAAAAAAAGATCATGCAAACATTACTGAAAGGACAGCAGGAGTTGGCTATATTTATAACAAATAAAGTAAACTTCAGAACAAAGATAATTACCAGGAGGGCCGGGCACAGTGGCTCACGCCTGTACTCCTAGCACTTTGGGAGGCCAAGGTGGGTGGATCTCAGGAGTTTGAGACCAGCCTGGCCAATATGGCAAAACCCCATCTCTACTAAAAATACAAAAATTAGCTGGGTGTGATGGCAGAAGCCTATAATCCCAGCTTCTCAGGAGGCTGAGGCAGGAGAATCACTTGAACCTGGTAGGGTCGGAAGTTGCAGTGAGCTGAGATCATGCCACTTCACTCCTGCCTGGGCAAAAGGAGCGAAACTCCGTCTCAAAAAAAAAAAAAAGATAATTACCAGGAACCAACGGCAACATTACAAAATGAGAACTTGGTCAATCCACCATTAAGACACAGCAATTCGAAACGTGCAGACACCAAACAAACAAAAAAACAATGAATAGAACCGAAAGGAGAAAAAGACATTTATACTTTTATAGTTGGAGACCTCAAAATCTCTCTCTACAGCTGATAAAATTAGGAGACAGAAAAGCTGCCAGGATATAGAACGCAACATCACCATCCATCAACTAGAGCCAATCAAAATTTATAGAACACTCCAGCCAATAATAACAGAATACATAATCTTTTCAAGTATCCACAAAACAAATACTAAGTTAGAACATATCCTGAGGCATAAAACAAACCTAACAAATTTTTTGAAATTAAAATCACACAGCATATGTTCCCTCAAACAATGGGAACAAATCTGAAGTCAACAAGAGAACAATTACAGGAAAATTGCCTAACTCTCAGAAACTAAACAATAAACTTCTACATAACCCATGGATCAAAGAGAAAGTCTCAAGGGAAATTTTAAAATATATTGTGAACTGAGAGAAAATGCAAGTACAATACATCAAAATGTATGGGAAAGAGCTACAGTGGGTGACGAGAGACAAATTTACAGCACTAAATGAATGGTACATTAGAAACTTGGAAACAAATCAATAATATAAGTGCCCACGTTGACAACCTAAACGAAAATTAAAAATAGCAAAATCAACCCAAAAGTAAGCAGAAAGGAAGAAATAATTAAGGTAAGAGTAGAAACAAAGTGAAAACAGAAAAACAATAAACAGTAAAGCAAAAAGCTGGTTCTTTGAAAAGATCAATAAAACTGACACACCTCTCTAAGCAAGACTGACAAAAAAAAAAAAAAGACATAAATTACCCAACATTAGTGATGAAACAAGCTCTAAAGATATGAAAAAAGATAATTAGGAATTACTAGGAACAACTCTACACACATAACTTTGACAACTTGGGCAAAATAGACTTATTCCTCAAATAATGCAAATTACCACAACTCACCAAATATAAAATAGATCATTTGAATAGCTCTACCACTATCAAGAAAACTGAATTCATAATTCAAAGAATCCCAAAAAAAAAAAGAAATTACCAGATCCAAATGAACTCACTGGATAATTCCATCAAACATTAAAAAAGAATTAACACAGACTCAAAACAATCTCTTCTGGAAACTAGAAAAGGAAAAACTTCCCAATTCATATTAAGAAGCTAATATTAGAGCCAATATTAGCATTTTAAGAAGCTAATATTAGAGCCAATATTAGCATTTTAAGAAGCTAATATTAGAGCTAATATTAGCATTTTAAGAAGCTAATATTAGGTACCGTAACTAAAGACAGTACAAACTACAGAACAATATACCTTAATATATATATAGACACAAAAATATTCAGTGAATTATTAGCAAGTAGAAGTAAACAATATATAAAAAGAATTCCACATCATCGCCAAGTAGTTTCATTCCAGGAATGCAAAGCTGGTTCAACAGTCAAATATCAATGTAACCCACCCTATTAATAGACTAAAGAACAAAAATCACATAATTACATATCAATTGATTTAGAAAAAGCAAATGACAAAATTCAATACTCGTGAATGATAAAAATTCTCAGAAAATAGCAACAAATGGGAACTTCATCATCTTGATAAACAGCATTTACAACACCTTAAGCTAAAACCTATGCCAACAAGAATGTCAGAAAGGGTCCTCCCAGACCTATTTATACAGCAGAGAGAATCATTAAGAATGATTTAGATAGTTACTAAGAGTTTACTCTCCTAAGAGATTACAACACCCAATGGCCAGCAAGCCCTTTTCATTAGACAAAAAGAAAAGCTGTGATCTGTCAACACTCTCAGAAGGTTCACTGTGAAATGTGCACTTCTGAACTCCTGCTGAGGGCCTACACGCTGCAATGTTGAGAAGCAAGTGTCCAGAGGTCTCCTTGGAAACATTGCAAAAAAAATGTGAGGGACTGATGGATGAATAGAAGGATGAAAAGGTGGAGAGAACGGTGATAAAGCACGTGGGATGATGCCAGCGGCACAATCTTAGGTGGTGAATATGTGGGTGCGCGCTGTAAAATTCTTTCAACTTTTCTGTATATATTTTTTTCATAATAAAATGTTGGAAAAAATAAACCTGTGAAAAAGGAAGCTTTAGTCAAACATATCTAAGCAAAAGAAAAAACAAATTCTAAATTCCTATGGCTCAAATTAACGTGTTTTTCTTTTTAGGCTGAGATGGAAGAGTAAAAAAACAGAAAAAGAAATGAAAGGAATAGGAGCTATTCTAACAGCTACAAATTCCACCTGCAGTTTGATTAAAGATGGCGTGGCTCAAGAATATGCTTTGAATCCAAGCCCCTTCAAGGCTGCCAGGTACAGAGTCGGTTCTGCAAAAGCTCTGTACCTGTGAACAAGCAGAGCTTCCAAATAAACCGATTAAAGCTGCCCTGAGTCAATAAGCCGGGCTTTAATCTGAGCAAGAAAGGTACATTTTTAGTCTAGTTACCCACCCATAACTGTAGGTACTTTGATACCTAGGTGAGGGGAAACATGGAGAAAGGCAAAATAACAGATTTTTAAAATCACAACAAATCTTTATCAAACATTTGTGCCAGGCACTGACTTAAGAGCTTCAAATGCATTATTTCATGTCATTTGCACAGCAACTCTCTGAGTAAGTACTTTCACTTATTTTATATATAATTTTAATTATTTACATTATATTATACTTATTCCTTTTTTTTGTTTGTTTTTTTTGTTTTGAGATGGAGTCTCACCCTGTCACCCAGGCTACAGTGGTGGTGCAATCTTGGCTCACTGCAAGCTCCGCCTCCTGGGTTCATGCCATTCTCCTGCCTGAGCTTCCCGAGTAGCTGGGACTACAGGTGCCCACCACCACGCCCAGCTAATTTTTTTGTATCTTTAGTAGAGACAGGGTTTCACCACGTTAGCCAGGATGGTCTCGATCTCCTGACCTCATGATCCGCCCGTCTCAGCCTCCCAAAGTGCTGGGATTACAGGCATGAGCCTCTGCACCTGGCCACTTATTCCTATTTTATACATGAGAGGCCCAAGGTGAGACAAAGTGATTTGTGTAGAGTCAGAGATAAAGCCAAAATTGATACCCAGACAGACTGAAAAACTTCTCTGTCAGAAAATCTAGAAATGGTAAAGGGAGATCTTCAAACTGAAGGAACATGATAACACAAGGTAGCTGGGACAGAAACAAAACCTTAAGGGCCCATAATGGTAAAATGAAAGTTAACATAAAAAACTTTTTTTTGGCCAGCCATGGTGGCTCTTTGGGAGGCCGAGGTGGGTGGATCACCTGAGGTCAGGAGTTCGAAACCAGCCTGACCAACATGACGAAACCATGTCTCTACTCAAAAATACAAAATTAGCCAGGTGTGGTGGCGTATGCCTGTAATCCCAGCTACTCGGGAGGCTGAGCCAGAATCGTTTGAACCCAGGAGGCAGAGGCTGCAGTGAGCCAAGATCATGCCATTGCACTCCATCCTGGCAGCCTGGGCAACAAGACCAAAACTCCGCCTCAAAAAAAAAAAAAAAAAGAGGCCAGGTGTGGTGGCTCACACCTATAATCCTATAATCCCAGCACTTAAGGGTGGCTGAGGCACGTGGATCACCTAAGGTCAGGAGTTCGAGGCGAGCCTGGCAAACATAGTGAAACCCTGTCTCTACTAAAAATACAAAAACGTTAGCCAGGCACGGTGGTGTGTGTCTGTAATCCCAGCTACTAGGGAGGCTGAGGCAGGAGACTCGCTTGAACCTGGGTGGCGGAGGTTGCAGTGAGCTGAGATTGTGCCATTACACTCCAGTCTGGGCAACAACAGCAAAACTCCGTCTCAAAAAAAAAAAGACTTTTTTTTCTCTTTTCAAATTTGAGGGGAAAAAATGTAATTGCCTATTTAAAGCAAAAACAAAAACATCATATTGTGGGGTTTATACCATGTTTCACTTGGACATGACACAGCAACACTACCAACCAAGAACATGTGAGAAGCAGGAAGCTACAGTCAGAGCACTGCCCCGCGGCTCAGGCAGTGTAATACCATTTGAGAGTGGGCAGTGACAAGTGAAAGATGTAACTGAAAACGCCAGAGATGATAGATTTAAACCCAAGTAGTCTAAAGATTCCAAATAAAAAACAGAGGTTGTCAGGGTGAATAAAGAAGCAAGACCTAATTAAATGATACCTGAAAGAAATCTACTTTACACATACACAAAGTTTGAAAGTGAAAAAAGCTAAACCTGGCAAACACACCACGCAAACACCAAATCAGAAGAAAGGAGAGTAGTCAGACCAAGGTGACTTCACAACAAAGAATGTCACCGGAGATTAAGGGGGTCAAATTTATGAATATGGCGTAAAAATCCTAAAAGTGCATGCACCTTATAACATTCTCAAATACATGAAGCAAAACCTGCAGAGCTGAAAGAAAATAATCCATAATTAGCATGAGAGATTTCAATTCTCCTCAGAAGAAAGAGGAACTAAGCAGTGAAATTGCTCTTCATGCCTCCCCAGCACAATGGAGATACTCCTGGGAAATAAAGCCAGTCACTGGGGCTGATCTCCCAGAACACTGAGACTGGCTTCTCTGTAAATAAATGACTGGTATTTGCTAGGAGAAGTGTCCTTATCTATGAAATGTTTTTAGCAAGATGTGGTTAGTTTAGGATTGTGTTTGGTAAACATACCTAAAATCCATGGACTTATGGGACATGGCTCCCTGGAAAAGGTTCCCTAAGGTGTATAAACTATCTGACTACAAAACGGGAACACTGCACATCCTTAATGCTCCTTGTGCAGTGAGATGACGACACACCTCAGTGAGAGGACCACACGCCTCAGTGAGAGGTCTCATCTCGCAGGCCGGGCTCAAAGAGGATGGACCTGCGGGGGTTGCACAGACTCTCCCACATCTCTCCCCACTTTGCCTGAGCACACAAGTGAGGATATTACTTGTATCTTTAAAGTTACTAAGTAATCAGCTACGGGTAACATCTCTGAGATTCATGTCAAACTAATGTGGTAAGCCAACCTTGTGTGTTAGTTCAACTCCTCTCCTAACAGTGACTAGAACAAGCAGGCAGAAAACTATTTCAAGTCAAGGATACCTGAACACTATCAACTTGATCTCACTAAGCTTTACAGAGCAGCAAAATACACTTTTTTTTTTTTTTTGAGATGTAGTCTTGCTTTGTCACCCAGACTAAAGTGCAGGGGTGCAATCGAGATTACAGGCACCCACCACCACACCCAGCTAATTTTTGTATGTTTCGTAGAGACAGGGTTTCACTATGTTGGCCAGGCTGGTCTCGAACTCCTGACCTCAAGTAATCCACCCACCTCAGCCTCCCAAAGTGTTGAGATTACAGGCAGGAGCCACTGCACCCAGCCACATTCTTATTACATGTGCATGAAACATTCCACAGAATGCACCATATTCTGGGGCTTCAGACAAGCCTCAGCATTGAAATCACAGAATATGTTCTCTGACTACAACTAATTTAGAAATTGTTAACAGGAGATATTTGAAAATCCCCAAATATTTGGAAATGAAATAACACATTTCCAAATAATAAGTGAGTAAAAGAAGAAATTAAAAGGGAAATTAGAAAATATTTTCAACTGAATGAAGATGAAAATGAATAAACATTTCCAAATTTGTGAAATGTGGCTAAACAATGCTTAGAGGGAAATTTATATTATAGTCTTGAACACTTGTTAGAAAAGACAAAAAATCTGAAGTCAATGATCTAAGCCTTTACCTTAAGAAACTAGAAGAGACAGAAGAACAAATGGAACCCAAAGCCAGCAGAAAAAAGGAAATAATAAAGAGTAAAGCAGAAATCAATGAAAAAGAAAACAAACAAAATCAATAAAACCAACAACTGGTTCTTTGAAAAAACTCAAACTGATGACTTCTAGGAAGACTGATCAAAATCGAAAGAGAGAAAATACAAGGCACATTTCAGCAAATTTCTGGATAACAGGTAGTATATGCTGGTACTTACTACATGCAAAATAATAGCATACGCACTTTGTCTGGCCTACTGTACTGATCCCATAATAACCTATGAGGTAGGTACTACTACTAACCCCAAATACGAATTTTTTTTTAAGAGACAGGGTCTCACCCTGTCACCCAGGCTGGAGTGTAGAGGCACAATCATAGATCACTGCAGCTTCAAACTGATGGCCTCAAGCAATTCTCTCACCTCAGCGTCCCAAAGTGCTGGGATTACAGGCGTGAGCTACCATGCATGGTGTCACTAATTATTTTTATATATGTACATTTACATATGTATGTCCATGCCAGGAAAGAAAAGCCTGAATATCCACTCTGAAGGGATAATAGTGGCTAACTCTTAGAGGAAAACTGAAATTGGGGTGGGCAGCCAGGTGAAATTTCTGCTTTTATAATCGATACATTTTTATAAGAAAACATTTATTTGATGTATATTTTTAATTGGAACGAAAATGCATCAGACATTTTAAAAAATTCAATTACACACAAAAAAGTAAGCAAAGAATAAATATATGGGTTTTACTGGGTTGGAGAAAGGGAAGAGATTATGAAAGTCCATCCATGATAAGGAACTCCTATAACCCAAAACAAAAAACTCAATTAAAAAATGGAATTAGCTGGGTGTGGTGGTGCCCGCCTGTAGTCCCAGCTACTCGGGAGGCTGAGGCAGGAGAATGGCGTGAACCCGGAAGGTGGAGGTTGCAGTAAGCCAAGATCATGCCACTGTACTCCAGCCTGGGTGACAGAACAAGACTCTGTCTCCAAAAAAAAAAAAAAAAAAAAGAAAGGGCAAAAGGGCCAGGAACAGTGGCTCATACCTGTAATACAGCACTTTAGGAGGCCAAGGTGGGTGGATCACCTGAAGTCAGGAGTTCAAGACCAGCCTGGCTAACATAGTGAAACTTCGTCTCTACTAAAAATACAAAAAATTAGCCAGGCACGGTGGCGGACACCTGTAATCCCAGCTACTCGGGAGGATGAGGCAGGAGAATCACTTGAACCTGGGAGGTGGAGGTTGCAATGAGCCAAGATTGCACCACTGCACTCCAGCGTGGGCAACAAGAGCCAAACTCCATCTCCCCAAAAAAAAAAAAAAACAAAAAACGGGCAAAGGATTTGAATAGACATTTCTCCAGTGAATGTATACAAATGGCCAATAAGCATGTAAAAAGATGCTCAGCATGACTAATCAACAGGGAAATATAAATCAAAACAATGAGATGCTGTACCTACTCACACAAATTAGGATGGCTATCATCAGAAAACAAAAAGTGTTGGTGAGGGTGTGGAGAAATTGGAACCTTAGTATACTGCTGCAAGAATGTAAAACAATGTAGCCACTGTGGAAAACAGTTTACTGCTTCCTCAAAAAGTTACACATAGTGCCAGGTGCGATGGCTCACATCTGAAATCTCAGCAACTCAGGAGTCTGAGGCAGGAAGATCCCGTGAAGCCAGGAGTATAAGACCGGCCTGGGCAACACAGTGAGATTCTGTCTCTAATTAGTCAAGCGTGATGGCTGGGCAACAATGTCAATATATTTAATGCCAATGAACTGTACACATAAAACTGGTTAAAACGGTAAGTTACATGGTATGTATATTTTACCACAATATTTAAATTTTTTAATTAGTTTTTAAAAAATTGTTACCAAAAAAATACTAAGAATCCATTCAAGTTATTTAGAAAGGGAGTGTCAGATCAACCTTTCCAAAGTGCCAAAATTCGCAAGATCACCTGGTTGCTTGCCCCATACCCAGCTGTCCAGAATTGACTTGGCCCTATATATAGGTGCAGGAGTTTCTTCTTCATCTTTTTTCTCTTTGTCATTCAGATCTTTCTTTGTCCCACTTGGTTCGACACTATCATCTGCAGAATTAAAAATTTTTTAATCTGTCACCGCTTTTCAGAATGTCATACCGTTAGCCTCTGCAAATGTCCCTCCCCGAAAAGTTACAACACACATGATTAACTGAATGCTTGACAACTTAAAAATAAAATACATCAATCATACCTGTAACAGATCCAGTATAATTTTCATAAAGAAACCAATATATTGGCCGGGCGTGGTGGCTCATGCCTGTAATCCCAGCACTTTGGGAAGCCATGGCGGGTGGATCAGGAGGTCAGGATATCGACACCATCCTGGCTAACACGGTGAAACCTCGTCTCTACTAAAAATACAAAAAATTAGCTGAGCATGATGGCAGGCGCCTGTATTCCCAGCTACTCGGGAGGCTGAGGCAGGAGAATGGTGTGAACCTGGGAGGCAGAGCTTGCAGTGTGCTGAGATCATGCCACTGCACTCCAGCCTGGGTGACAGAGCGAGACTCCATCTCAAAAAAAAAAAAAAAAGAAACCAATACAACAAATTATTTAAAGGATGTCTTCCAAAATGATATTCCATCTACTTCCTAGTACATTTCTTAACTGAGAAACTTAAGTCTTTCATATTTACCTACTTCAATTTCACACCAATTGCTTTTATCCAGTGAGTCCCAGTGCTTGTGTATCCATGGGAAAAGGGAGGGTGTAGAACAAGAGTATGATTCAAAAATCTTTTAACTCTTTACAAGGCCCTACTCCACTGCCAACTGGGAAGCACTGCTATGCAGGGGCACTGTCACTGCTGGCATAATTCAAGAGCACTGGGACACAAAGGAAAAGCTGAGAAAAATCACTTTAGGCCACTGACAATGTCAAGTTTCAGTCAAAAACAACTGTCATAAAACTCCTTACACAGTAAGCGAAGAGAAGAGAGAACTAACCTTAACCTTGAAGTGTAAACACATTCCATCACAGAAGGCTGTGACTAAATGTCTAACAACATAATTAGAAAAATGTATCTCAATCGGGGAAAGACATGATATCCCATCCAGATTACAAATAATGACTATCTAAAAATCTCGAAGGAAACAGTTCCTCTGTTTATAACACTTCTGACACCAAATGTATGGACTTTTGCACCAAGCAATTCTCCAGTTCTCTGCGACACCCAGCTTTGTGTCCCACAGTGCAATTCAATTCTGAAACTAACTACCTAGAATTAGCACAGACCCCACAGGTTAATAACAAGAGAGAAAAGGTGAATGCTGAAAAAAATATCCAAAGAACTAATGGCTGAAAACTTCCTAGGTTCAGCAAATGACATAAACCCAGGCAGACTGAAGAATCTGCACAAAGCCCACACAAGATAAATCCAAAGGAAGCCATGACGAGGCACATCATAATCAACTGCTAAACACTAAGGACAAAACCTTTTGAAAAGTGCCACGGAAAGTAGATACAGAAGAATTTCTCGTGTGGCCTGAAATTAAGACTAAATATTACGTGCTGCCTTGACATTGGTAAAATCAAGAAGGCCTCAAATAGCCTAACCACAAGGTCTCCCCTGAGCTCTGCTCTCACGGATAAGATCCCAAAGCCAAACAACCTCCTTATCGCGGAAACCCGACCCCAGCCTGCTCATCCCTGCCGGCCCAGAGTTATTCAAACAAGCCAGTCACATCTTCCCATGGAAGCAAGGTCATCTCACCCTCCTGTTACTACAAAATGTGCCTCCCACAGCCCCTCGTGGTTCGCTCTGTTCCCAAGTGCAGCCCCCGTGTGGCATGCGGTGTCCCCCACCCCAGGGCTGTGAGCATGCGTGACTAATAAACTGCTATTTCATCTGTCCAGTGTCGGTGTCCTACGTTCAGCCATCCCATATCCCTAGGGCAGGAATCTTCTAGGGTTATAAACAGAACTTTAATCAACCTCTCCTTGGTTATTTTACTGGTTCCATGATACAGCTTTTTCTGTGCAAAAGATCTGAACAGAAACTCACAGAGGATACAAGAGTGGCAAAAAAGAACATGATATTCAGCATTGTTAGCCATTACAGAATTGCAAATTAAAACCACAATGAGATCCCACTAGACTTGTTAGAATGGCTCAACTAAAAATCACTGATAACACCAAGTGCTAACAAAGACACAGAGCAACAGAAACGTGACAGATTGTCAGCGGGAATGCAAACTAAAACAGCCTCCAGTTTACCAAGGTAGACACCTCGAGTCACAGAATACAGAGTAGAACCCAGCCAGGAACACGGCTCAGGTGAGAACACAGGTGCTGGCTCTGAATGCCAGACTCTGCCGTGTGTGTGTGTGTGTGTGTGTGTGTGTGTGTGGTCACTAACCACAGCCCACAGGACAAACCCAGCCCACAGCCTTTTTGTGTATGGTCTGAACACAGAGAAAGTATTTTAGTTTTGTTGTTCTTTTGAGATGGAGTCTTGGCTCACCACAACCTCTGCCTCCCAGGCTCAAGCGATTCTCCCAGGTTCAAGTGATTCTCATGCCTCAACCTCCGAGGAGCTGGGATTACAGGGGTGCATCACCATGCCCGGCTAATTTTTTGTTTTCAGTAGAGATGGGGTTTCACCATGTTGGCCAGGCTGGTCTCGAACTCCTGACCTCAGGTGATCCGCCTGCCTCAGCCTCCAAAAGTGCTGGGATTACAGGTGTGAGCCACCACGCCCAGCCACCGTATTTTATAGTTTTTAATAATTGAAAAATAATCAAAAGAAAAACAGTATTTTGTGACTTGCAAACATTCTGTGGACTTCATCTTTTCGTGTCCATAAATAAAGTTTACAGAATGAACGTCCCCAGCCCGCTGACGTAGTATTGTCTGTGGCTACTCTGGCACTACAGCTGCAAGGTCCCATGGCTATGACAGAGACCATAGGGTCCATTGAGAGCTTAAAATATTTACTATCTGGCCCTTTACAGAAAGTAGGCCACCCCTACCCTACATCTGGCTATAAATTTTACAAATTTGACAAATTCTGAGACCCTGTCTCAGAAAATAAAATAAAATATTCATAGTCTTAATAATGGAAAACAAAAACATTTACTGAATGCCAAAACATCTCCCTAACAATCCCAATCAGTTGGGATCTACATAAAGAACAATTATGCTCTGCTTTCCAACCATGATTTTTAAAAGAACAAAAGACAAAAAAATTCATCAAATGTGGGCTGGGCATGGTGGCTCACACCTGTAAACCCAGCACTTTGGGAGGCCGAGGTGGGTTATGAGGTCAGGAGTTCAAGACCAGCCTGACCAAGATGGTGAAACTCCGTCTTTACTAAAAATTCAACAATTAGCTGGGCATGGTGGAGGGCGCCTGTAATCCTAGCTGAGTACTCAGGAGGCTGAGGCAGAGAACTGCTTGAACCCGAGAGGAAGGGGTTGCAGTGAGCCAAAATCATGCCGCTGCACCCCAGCCTGAGCGACAGAACAAGACTCCCTCTCGAGAGGAAAAAACAAAAAAAATTCATCAAATGTAATGAATAAAACATATACTTTGGATTTTGCCATGTACTTAGCTTTTCTTAGAGCACCTTTTAGAACTATTGTTTCACAGAAAACACTTTGGGAAACGTTTTAATTTATAAACAAATACTGGAGGGCTAGGAAGAAGAGGTTAAAACTTTTTAAAATATACAGAATGAATTACTGATACAGAAAAACAAAAAAAGGTTGCTGATTCCTGTCTTGGAAGACACTGTCATATGGACACTCTTAGCCTCAGCATCCAGAGGTCCAGAAAGGGAAAATTTCAAGTCAGAGAGAATTCTATATATACCACTTACTTGGAACATTCAGCCCTCAAAATCCCAACATCATGACCTCAGTTTCAACACAATTGTCCTTAGTCCTTATGTCACTGCTTTTGGTGCTGCCTGCTGTCAAGGCAGTGGAAGCCAGTGATGCAACTGCTCTCTCGTTAAAAGGTGTGGTTCTCAGTATTACAGGTGTTTGTACTTGCTTGCGGGTATACGCACGAAAGATAAAAATGAACAGATGTGACTTTGAAGGGCCTAATGAATGAAACCTCACCCTGAAAACCTTTGTGCTACTGAAACTAAATGTAAGCTTTGGTGTCTGAAAGTTTCCAAGAATTAGTAAGTAGGAGAGTTTTACTTTCTGAGTTGATTCCATGAAATGGGAACAAATTGGTACATAAATGGATTTTGCCCAGAATCCTAGGAAATCGCCACTGTTCAGTCGTAATCACTGCCTCCTAAATCACTGAGTCTGTTCTCTGTATTTTTATTAGACTTTTGTCATCTCCCAAATTCAGATATCCAATAGTCAGCCAAAAAGGGAAACTTTTATCTCTGGAAAGAAAAAAAATCATTTAGAAAAATGTATTCAGTGTATCTAATACTGAAATGGAGAAAAGACTTAATGTTAAAGAAAAAAAAAACACTATAGACATTGACATGGAAAAGAGATTTAATGTTAATAAAAACTTTATATTAACTGAGTAACACCTCCTGATGAGAAGTGCTATATTAAATATAAACCCATTATGTTGTTTAAAAAAAAAAAACATGAAAATCAAAAGCACTAAACAGAGTGAAAGAAGCCAAGACACAGAAGAACCCGACTACATGATTCCATGTATGGAGTTCTAGAACAGGCGCAATTTGTCAATGCTGGAGAAACATCAGGCCAGCTATTGCCTCTGGGAAGAAGGGGCAGGACACCAGAGAACTTTCTGAGCAAGAGTCATGATAAAGATGTGGGTTACACGGGTTACATTTGTCAAAACTTGTGAAATGGTAAACTCAAAATAGATACATTTCATTATATATAAATTTTACCTGAAAGTCAAAAACAAAGTTGAACTAGAATCAATTACATACATGAGTGTCTAAGGAGCTAGGTGAGACAAACGGTGGATGGACAGACAGCAGGATGTGGAGCCAAATACGGTGGCAGAACATGGAGGTGGGTCTGCAGCCACTCACTGTACACGTCTGTCAGTTATTGTGTGTGTGTGTGTGTGTGTGTGTGTGTGTGTGTGTGAATATTTTCAAACAAATATAAAAAATAAATTAAAATAAAAACACAGGTAACTCTGCTTGACACTGAAACTGAAGAGGGAGACTAATACTTTTTCCCATGGTTTGTTTTGTGTTTTTTGTTTTTTTTTTTTTGAGATGGAGTCTCACTCTGTCACCCAGGCTGGAGTGCAGTAGCACAATATCTGCTCACTGCAACCTCCACCTCCCGGCTCCAAGCAATTCTCCTGCCGTGCCCTCCCAAGTAGCTGGGATTACAGGCGCCCGCCACTATGCCTGGCTAATTTTTGTATTTTTTAGTAGAGACGGGGTTTCACCATGTTGGCCAGGCTGGTCTCAAACTCCCAACCTCAAATGATCTGCCCGCCTCAGCCTCCCAAAGTGCTGGAATTACAGGCACGATCCACCGCGCCCGGTCCCCAAGTATTTTCAAGTGGACACCATCCCAATTCATTCCACAAAAGAAGAATAAATACTTGCCAGGCACGGTGGCTCACGCCTATAATCCCAGCACTTTGGGAGGCTGAGGCGGGCGGATCACGAGGTCAGGAGATTGAGACCATCCTGGCTAACACGGTGAAACCCTGTCTCTACTAAAAAATACAAAAAATTAGCCGGGCGTGGTGGTGGACACCTGTAGTCCCAGCTACTTGGGAGGCTGAGGCAGGAGAATGGCATGAACCCAGGAGGTGGAGCTTGCAGTGAGCTGAGATCGCGCCACTGCACTCCAGCCTCAGCGACAGAGCAAGACTCCTTCCCAAAAAAAAAAAAAAAGAAGAAGAAATACTTTCTTCAGACTAATGCTCTCCCAACTGAGCTATTTCAACTTAGAATAAATACTTTCTAAAGTGGTAGCTTTATCCACGTTGATGACTCTCAAGCAGGGGGACCAACGAACTTCAACAGTGGTTCTCAACCAAGGATCTTTTCAGATTCAACAAGTTTAGGGTGTATACAAGCATCCATTTTTTTAAACCTCAATGGGGACTCTGAAACACAGCCACTGTTATGAACAACCTAATGATAGTCCTATTGAGCATGCAAAACTACAACGCTAAATAAGATTGTTCAATGGCATTTCCTTGCAGGCCAAAGGCTTCCAATAAGTGTTTAATACACCCCCAAAGAACACCACAAATGCAGCAAGACGGTTTTGCAATAAAAATGCCTTCAATTCACGTAAAACAATAAAATCCGGGCAGCTTGTATTAACTACCATTTTAGACAACAATCTCCAAAGTAAAAAGCAAAACTTCAAAGAGTTAAGCTCAAAGCTCCTGTTCCTATAGCACATTACAAAATTTCTATAAAATGCATTTTATAATGGTCTTTACCAAATAAAAAACACTAGTTAAAGGCCCTTACCTTTTCCAGGAGGGAGCTATCCGTTCTGGGTTGATTCTGTTCCAGTGTATACAATTTCTCCATCTTTAACCATTTCATTCCACAGACCACAGAGCCCATCTCTTGTGAATGCAAGCTGGCAATGATAAACGAGATAAGCTCACACTCACACTGCAATTTTTAAAGAATGATATGGGAAAAAATCTCAATCCCCCTTATGTATTCGATCATTCGGTAATAAAATCAATGATTTACTGAATTAGTGACTTAATCATTTTACATTTCATGAAAGTCATCCAAGAAATATAAATGAAAAGGTGCATAATAGTATAAATACTATTCTACCTCTTATGTAACATACAAGAAAAATGACACGTGGTCAGGCGAGGTGGCTCATGCTTGTCATCCCAGCACTTTGGGAGGCCGAGCGGGGCACATCACGGGGGATCAGGAATTTGAGACCAGCCTGGCCAACACGGTGAAACGCCGTCCCAACTAAAAATACAAAAAATTAGCCAGGCGTGGTGGCGGGCGCCTATAATCCCAGCTACTCACGAAGCCGAGGCAAGAGAATTGCTTGAACCCAGGAGGCAGAGGTTGCAGTGAGCCAAGATCGCGCCACAGCACTCAGCCTGAGTTGATAAGAGCGAGACTCGGTGTTAAAAAAAAAAAAAAAGAAAAAAAAGACACACACACAAACACACACACGTGCATATGCTCTGAAAAGATAAACCGAAAGCAAGTACCAATGACTACCTACGGGGAAATGGGGAGGGGACATGGACAAAGGCAGCAGGACCAGAAAAAGCAACAACATTGTGAGTATACTTTAGATGTCTTTACTTCTGAAACATACATGACTTTCATCCTCAAAAATTAAAATTAAATCATAAAAAAGCAAAACCTACAACTGGCAACAAGCAAATTAACCCATGCATATACAAAGAAAAGTATGTCAAGGGACTTTTGAACTACATATCATTAATAGAATATACTATAATGAAAAATAAAATATTTATCGGTATTGATAACACTCTCACAATTTTAGAACTACTTCATGTTGCACAATAAAGCAGTGTAAATACAATAAAACATGTTTATGATAAAGTATTAAATGTTCTCAGAAATTAAGGTTTTAGGCCGGCCATGGTGGCTCACACCCGTAATCCCAGCATTTGGCAGGCCAAGGCAGGTAAATCACTTGAGATCAGGAGTTCATGACCAGCCTGGCCAACATGGTGAAACCCCATCTCTACTAAAAATATGAAAAATTAGCCGGGTGTGCTGGTGCATGCCTGTAATCCCAGTCACTCGGGAGGCTGAAGCAGAAGACTAGCATGAACCCAGGAGGCAGAGGTTTCAGTGAGCCGAGATTATGTCACTGTGCTCCAGCCTGGGTAAACAGAACGAGACTCCATCTCAAAAAAAAAAAAAAAAAAAAAAAAAAAAAAAAAAATTAAGGTTTTCAGTGGAAAAGAGGAAAAAAAATCAAAGAAATTTTGAAAAACAACTTAAATTGGAAATCTATGAACTTTATTTTTGAATATATTTGCTTACTCTGTTTTTTAAAGGACTAGAATCAAAGGCAATCTGACAGCGGCACCCAGATTTTGGTCTCTTAGAACCATTTCCCGATAAAAGACGCTAGGGCTCTTGGGAAAATAAGTAGATTCAAGGGCCAGGGCAGACAAAGATGAGCCTGTTTCCTCAAAGAAAAAGCTGTTTCCTCAAACATGGCCAGGTGCGGTGGCTCACGCCTATAATCCTAGCATTTTGGGAGGCTGAGGCGGGCAGATCACTTGAGGTCAGGAGTTCGAGACCAGCCTAGCCAACATGCCGAAACCCCATCTTTTTTAAAAATACAAAAATTAGCTGGGCATGGTGGCAGGCGCCCATAATCCCAGCTACTTGGGAGGCTGAGGCAGGAGAATAGCCTGAACCCAGGAGGCGGAGGTTACAGTGGGCCAAGACTGTGCCACTGCACTCCAGCCTGGGTGACAGAGCAAGACTTTTTCTCAAAAAAAAAAAAAAAAAAAAAAAAAAAAAGCAGCTGTTCAAAGATGATAGGGACTCCTGGCCAAATTTATAATAATTATAATAACTGTGAGCATCAAAATCAAAAACGCCTTTGCTTGTCAACATTTGTGAGTCAGAAAAGGCTTCCCAGAACAGGAAAAGGGAGCATTTCAGACACTGGGGGAAGGCATCCATTCTGAAAACTGCGTATGTGACAGAAGCTCCCTTGTCTGGCAAAACAAAAGCCATTTTTAATTAAAAGAGACAGATGTTTGCCCATCTTTTTTTTTTTTTTAACTTCTGTGGATACACACTAGTTGTATGTATATATATATGGGTTATATATTCTATCTAACTCTTTTTTTTTTTTGGAGACGGATCTCGTTCTGGCACTAAGCTGGAGTGCAGTTGTGCGATCTCAGCTCACTGCAACCTTTGCCTTCTGGGTTCAAGGGTTTCTCCTGCCTCAGCCTCCCAAGTAGCTGGGACTACAGGCTCACACCACCACACCCAGCTAATTTTTGTATTTTTGGTAGAGATGGGGTTTCACCGTGTTGGCCAGGATGGTCTGGGTCTCTTGACCTCATGATCCACCTGACTTGGCCTCCCAAAGAGCTGGGATTACAGGCGTAAGCCACTGTGCCCAGCCCTATCTAACTCCATTTTTATACCCATTAACCATCCGCACTTCACCCCCACTTTATCCTTCCCAGTCTCTGATAACCATCATTCTACTCTATCTCCATGAGTTCAATTACTTTCATTTGCTTAGCACCTACAAATAAGTGAGAACATGCAAAGTTCGATTTTCTGGGTCTGGCTCATGACATTCTGTTCCTGACTTAACATAACGACCTCCAGTTCTATCCATGTTGTTGCAAACGGCAGTATCCCATTCTTTTTCATGGTTGAATAGTACTCCGTTGAGTATATATACCACATTTTCTTCATCCATTCATCTGCTGGGAACACTTAGGTTGCTTCCAAATCTTGGCTATTGAGAATAGTGCTGCAATAAACATGAGAGTGTACATATTTCTTCAACATACTGATATTCTTTCCTCTGGGTATATACCTACCAGTGGGATTGCTGAATCATATGATAGTCCTATTTTTAGTTTTTTGAGGAACCTCCAAGCTAATCTCCATAATGGCTGTGCTAATTTACATTCCCACCAACAGTGCACAAGGGTTCCCTTTTCTCTATATTCTTGCCAGCATTTGTTCTTGTCTTTTGGATATAAGCCATTTTAATTAGGGTGAGATAATATCTCATTATAGTTTTGATTTGCATGTCTCTGATGACCAACCATGTTGAGCACCTGTTCGTACTGCCTGTTTGTCATTTGTATATCTTCTTTTGAGAAATGTCTATTCAAATCTTTTGCCCATTCTTATTGGATTATTAGATTTTTTTCCTATAGAGTTGCTTAAGCTAATTATATATTCTGGTTATTAATCCTTTGTCAGATGGGTAGTTTGCAAATATTTTCTCCCATTCTGTGGGTTGTCTCTTCATTTTGTTGATTGTTTCCTTTGCTGTGCAGCTTTTTAACTCAATGTGATCCCACTTGTCCATTTTAGCTTTGGTTGCCTGTGTTTACGAAGTATTACTCAAGAAATCACTACCCAGTGCAATGTCCTGGAGAGTCTCCCCAATGTTTTCTTTTAGCACTTTCATAGTCTGAAGTCTTAGGTTTAAGTCTTTACTCCATTTTGATGTGATTTTCGTATATGGTGAGAGATAGTGGTCTAGTTTCATTTTTCTGCATATGGGTGCCCCATTTTCCCAGCACCATTTATCAATGAGGCTATCCTTTCCCTCATGTATCCTCCGGGCACCTCTGTCAAAGGTGAGTTCACTGTAGATGTATAGATCTGTTTCTGGGTTCTCTATTCTGTTCCATTGGTCTAGGTGTCTGTTTTTATACCAGTACCATGCTGTTTTGGTATACCTTTCTAGTAAACTTTGCACTTGATCTAAGCCAAAAAAGACCAGGAAGTGACTGTAGTATAATTTTAAGTCAGGTAATGCAATTTCTCCAGTTTTGTTTTTTGCTCAGGATGGCTTTGGCTATTCTGTCTCTTGTGATTCCATACAAATTTCAGGATTTTTTTTTCTATTTCTGTGAAGAATGTCATTGGTATTTTGATAGGGATTACATTGAACCTGTAGATTGCTTTGGGTAGTACAGACATTTTAACAATATTGATTCTTCCAATCCATGAACACAGAGTATCTTTTCCTTTTCTGTGTGTCTTCTTCAATTTTCTGCATCAATGTTTTACAGTTTTCGTGGTAGAGATCTTTTCACTTCTTGGGTTAGGTTTATTCCTACGTATTTTACTTTATTTGTAGCTATTATAAATGGAATTATTTTTCTTGATTTATTTTTCATATTGTTCACTGTTGACATATAGAAATGCTACTGATTTGGCTGGGCAAAGTGGCTCATACCTGTAATCCCAGCACTTTGGGAGGCCGAGGCAGGCGGATCACCTGAGGTCAGGAGTTCGAGACCAGCCTGGCCAATGTGGTGAAACCCTGTCTCTACTAAAAATACAAAAATTAGCCAGGCCTGGTGGCAGGCGCCTGTAATCCCAGCTACTCAGGCGGCTAACACAGGCGGATCGCTTGAACCCAGGAGGCAGAGGTTGCAGTGAGCCGAGATTGCGCCATTGCTTTCCAGCCTGGGCCACAGAGTGAGACTCCATCTCAAAAAAAAAAAAAAAAAAAAAAAAGAGAGAGAGAAATGCTACTGATTTTTGTATGTTAATTTAGTATCCTGCAATTTTACTGAATTTATCAGTTCTAATCATTTTTTGGTGGAGTTTTTAGGTTTTTCCAAATACAACAATCATCTGCAAACAAGAGTAACTTGGCATCTTCATTTCCAATTTGGATGCCCTTTATTTCTTCTTCTTTTTTTTTTTTTTCTGAGATGGAGTCTTGCTCCATAGCCCAGGCTGGAATACAGCGGCACAATCTCAGCTCACTGCAATCTCCACCTCTGGGGTTCAAGTGATTTCCCTGCCTCAGCCTCCCGAGTAGCTGGGACAACAGACACCCGCCACCACGCCTAGCTAATTTTTATATTTTTAGTAGAGATAGGGTATCACCATGTTGGCCAGGCTTCAAACTCCTGACCTCAAGTGATCCACTCACCTCAGCCTCCCAAAGTGCTGGGATTACAGGTGTGAGCCACTGCACCCGGCCTTTCTCTCTCTTATCTGACTCCTCTAGCAAGGGCTTCCATTATTATATTGAATAACAGTGGTGACAGTGGGCATCCGTGTCTTGTTCCAGATCTTAGAGGAAAGGCTTTCAGTTTTTCACCTTTCAGTATGATACTAGCTGTGTGTCAGTTGTATATGGCTTTTATTGCGTTGAGGTGTGTTCCTTCTATAACCAGTTTTTTGGGGTTTTTATCATGAAAGGATGTTGAATTTTATCAAATGCCTTTTCAGCATGAATTTAAATGATCATATGGTTTTTTATCCTTCATTCTATTGATATGATGTATCAAACTGATTGATTTGGATATGGTGAACCATCCTGGCATCCCTGGGATAAACCCCACTTTGGTCATGATGAACGATGTTTCTAATGTGTTGTTGAATTCGGTTTGCTGGTATTTTGTTGGGTATTTCTGCATCAATGTTCATCTGGGATACTGGCCTGTTTTGTTTTTTTGATTATGTCTTTGTCTGGTTTTGGTATCAGGGTAATATTGGCCTTCTACAATAAGTTTGGAAGTATTCCCTCCTCCTCTATTTTTCAGAATAGTTTCACTAGGATTGGTAATAGTTCTTCTTTAAATGTTTGGTAAAATTCAGCAGTGAAGTCACTGGGTCCTGGGGTTTTTCTTTGCTGGAAGACTTTTTATTATTACAGTTTCAATCTCATTACCTGTTATTGGTATGTTCAGGTTCTGGATTTCTTCATGGTTCAAACTTGGAAGGCTGTATGTGCCTGTGAAATTATCCATTTCTTTTTCCTTCTTTTTTTGAAGACACAGTCTCACTCTTTCACCCAGGGTGGAGTGCAGTAACATGATCTCAGCACACTGCAACCTCCCCCTCCCAGGGCTCAAGTGACTCTCGTGCCTCAGCCTTCCAAGTGGCTGGAATTACAGGCACGCAAAACCACACCTGGTTAATTTTTGTATTTTTAGTAGAGATGGAGTTTCACCATGTTGGCCAGACTGGTCTCAAACTCCTGACCTCAAGCGATCCACCCGCCTCAGCCTCCCAAGGTGCTGGGATTACAGGTATGAGCCACCACGCCCAGCCTGCAAACTTATCTATTTCTTCCACGTTTCCCAATTTATTGACATATAGCTGTTCATAGTCTCTAATGACCCTTTGAATTTCTGCAATATCAGTTGTAATGCCTACTTTTTCACCTCTGATTTGGGTCTTCTTTTTCTCTTAGCCTGCCTGAAAGCTTGTCAATTTATCTTTTAGAAAAACCAACTTTTCATTTCATTGATCTTTTGTATTATTTTCTTCATTTCAACTCCATTTTATTTCTGCTCTAATTTTTATTATTTCTGTCCTTAAAATTATGGGTTTGGTTAGCTCCTTCATTTCTAGTTCTTTAAGATGTATCATTAGGTTATTTATTTGAAGTTTTTCTACTTTTTTGATTTTCCTCTTAGTATTGCTTTCACTATATCCCACAGGTTTCGTATGCTGTGCTGCCATTGCCATTTGCTTCAAGAAATTGTTTAATTTCATTCTTAATTTCTTCACTGACCTGTTGGTCATTCAGGAGCATATTGTTTAATTCCCATGTGTTGGTGGAGTTTCCAAAATTCCTCGTTATTGATTTTTAGTTATAGTCCATTGTGATCAGAGAAGATACTTAACATAATTTTTTTAACTTTTATATGGCAAAAGAGGAATCTAGCTTCATTCTTCTGCATATGAATATCAAGTTTTCCCAACACCATTTATTGAAGAGATTGTCTTTTCCCCAGTGTTTGTTCTTGGTACCTTTGTCGAAAATGAGTTCACCGTAGATGTGCGGATTTGTTTCTGGATTCTCTATTCTGTTCTGTTGGTCTGTGTCTGTTTTATGCTAGTACTATGCTGTTTTGGTTACTATAGCTCTGTAGTATAATTTGAAGTCAGGTAATCTGATTCCTCCAGTTTGTTTCTTTTTAATTACGAGAGCTTCGGCTATTCTGGGTCTTTTGTGGTTCAACATGAATTTTAGGATTTTTTTTTTTTCTGTTTCTGTGAAGAATGTCATTGGTATTTTGCTAGGGATTGCACTCAATCGGTAGATTGCTTTGGGTAGTATGGACATTTTAACAATATTGATTCTTCCAATCCATGAAGATGAAATATTTTTCCATCTTTTGTGTCCTCTTTAATGTCTTTCATCAGGGTTTTAGAGTTTTCATTACAGAGATCTTTGTAATTATCTTCTTTGGTTACTTCCCAGGTACTTAATTTCATGTGTGGCTACTATAAATGGGATTAGTTTTCTAATTTTTTTCATATTGTTTACTGTTGGCACACAGAAATGCTACTGATTTTTGTATGTTGATTTCGTATACTGCAACTGTACTGAATTTATCAGCTCTAATCATTTTCTTGTGGAGTCTTTAGGTTTTTCCACATATAAGATCATATCATCTGCAAACAAGGATAATTTGACTTCTTCCTTTCCAATGTGGAGGCCTTTTATTTCTTTCTCTTGTCTGATTGCTCTAGCAAGAACTTCCAGTACTATGTTGAATAACGGTGGCCACACTGAGCATCCTTGTCATGTTCCAGATCTTAGAGGAAAGACTTTCAGTTTTTCACCATTCAGTATGATACTAGCTGTGGGTCTGTCATATACGGCTTTTATTATGTTGAGGTATGTTTCTTCCATAATCAGTTTTAAGAGATTTTATCATGAAAGGATGTTGAATTTTATCAAATGCCTTTTCAGCATCGACTGAAATAATCACATGGTTTTTATCCTTCTGTTGACATGATGTGTCACATCGATTGATTTGCATATGTTGAACCATCCTTGTACCCCAGGGATAAACCCCACTTCATCACAATGAACGATCTTTCTAACGTATTGCTGAATTTGGTTTGCTAGTATTTTGTTGAGGATATTTGCATCAATATTCATCAGAGACATTGGCCTGTAGTATTCTTTCTTTGACGTGTCTTTGTCTGCTTTTAGTATCAAGGTTTCAATTTTTAATGACTTATTTTGTGGCCTAACATATGGTCTAACCTTGAGGACGATCCATGTGCTAAAGAGAACAATGTAAATTCTGCAGCCATCAGATGAAATGTTCTAGAAATATCTATTAAATCCATTTGGTCTACAGTGCAGATTAAGTTTGATGTTTCTTCGTTAATTTTGTCTGGATGATCTGATCTGTCCAATGCTGAAGTGGAGTGTTGAAGCCTCCATCTATTAATGTATTAACGCCTCTCTCTCTCTTTAGCTGTAATATTTGTTTTATGTATCTGGGTGCTCTAGTGTTGAGTGCATATATACATATATTTATAATAGTTATAGCCTCTTGCTGAATTGGCCCCTTTATCATTACATAATGACTTTTTTGGTCTCCTTTTATAGTTTTGGTCTTGAAATTTATTTGGTCTGATATAACCGCTATGCTCTTTTGTGATTTCCATTTGCCTCTCCCTTTTTCCATCCCTCTGCACTGTCCTGAAGAGATGGTCTCCAATCTGAAGAAGCAAGCAGCCAATGAACTGCCTGTGGGGAGGGGCAGCCTCCAAGAGCCCAGGGTTTCAGTCCCACAACCACAATGGATTCAATTCTACCAATGAGGACCTGAGCTCCAGATGACAGCGTGCCCTAGCCAACACCTTGACTACAGCCTGTGACACCTGAAGTAGAGGATAGAACTAAGCTATGGCCAGACTCCTGACCCACAGAAACTGTGAGAGTGTAAATGCTTGTTGTTACAAGCTGCCAAATTTGTGTTTGGTAACTTGTTCTGTAGCGACAGAAACCAAGCCAGCATCCTTCAGTTTTTGTAGAAGGAACAGCTTTCCCTCAGCACTGTTATTTTTTCTGTTCACATCACTAACAGGATAACTGCCATAAACATACTTGGAACCAAAACATATGACTTTTGGTAAAAATATCAGCTGGTGGGGGAGAGGTAAACTCCTTCCTAAAAAGTGAGCCCTGGCCAGATAGAGTGACTCACATCTCTAATCCCAGCACCTTGGAAGACTGAGGCAAGAGAATCACTTGTGCCCAGGAGTTCAAAACCAATCTAAGCAACATAGCAAGACCCTGTCTCTACAAAAAAATTGTAAAATTGGCCAGAAAGCTGGGCATGGTGGCTCACACCTGTAATCCCAGCACTTGGGAGGCCACGGCGGGTGAATTGTTTGAGCTCAGGAGTACAAGACCAGCCTGAACAACATGGCAAAACCGCATTTCTACCAAAAATACAAAAAATTAGCCAGAGGTGGTGGCGCGCCTGTACTCCCAGCTACTTGGGAGGCTGAGGTGGGAGAACTGCTTGAGACCAGGAGGTAGAGGCTGCAGTGAGTTGAGATCACTCCACTGTACTCCAGCCTGGGCAATAGAGCAAGACCCTGTCAAAAAAAATTTTTAATTTAAATTTAAAAAATTAAAATAATATAAAAAATAAAATTAAAAAGTGAGCCAAAAACATTCAGGGCCCCTGAAGTTTAACGAGTGAATGGAAAGCTTTGACTCTTCTAGTCTTCAGTCAGAGGAGAGCAGTGAATACGTGCACTGGGGTTCAGTCCAAACCCTACCACAATGCACATGATAAGAGGCTAACAGTGGTCAGAACTCACAGCTCCATGTGGGCCGTGCTCCAGGAGTTTCAGACTATCTTTAGGCACTCAAGGGAATACGACATTTGACCCGTGTCTTAAAGTGTTTCAGAAAACAGAAACAGAGAAGGTGAACTAAGAAGCTATTACTGGCCAGGCACGGTGGCTGACGCCTGTAATCCCAGCACTTTGGGAGGCCGAAGCGGGTGGATCATGAAGTCAGGAGATAAAGACCATCCTGGCTAACACAGCGAAAACCCATCTCTACTAAAAATACAAAAAATTAGCCAGATGTGGTGGCAACGCACCTATAGTCCCAGCTACTCGGGAGGCTGAGGCAAGGGAATTGCTTGAACCTGGGAGGCGGACGTTGCAGTGAGTGGAGATCGCACCACTGCACTCCAGCCTGGGTGACAGAGTGGGACTGCATCTCAAAAAAAAAAAAAAAAAAAAAAAGGCTATTACCAAGTGTCCAAAAAAGAAAGGATGACAGCAGAAGTCAACACAGGGAAGTACAGTCTTTAAGATTATTTCAGGCAGGGCACGGTGGCTCACATTTGTAATCCCAGCAGTTTGGGAGGCCAAGGTGGGCAGACTGCTTGAGCCCAGGAGTTCGAGACCAGCCAGAGCAACATGGTGAAACCCGGTCTCTACAAAAAATACAAAAATTAACCAGGCGTGGTGGTACGCACCTGTAGTCCCACTACTCAGGGGGCTGAAGTGGGAGGATCACCTGAGCCCGGGGAGGTTAAGGCTGCAGTGAGCCGTGACGGTGCCACTGCATTCCAGCCTGGGCAACAGAGTGAGACCCTGACTTAAAAAACAAAAAAAGAAACTATTTCAAATCACGTAAGTTAAATCAAATGTGAAAGGGAAAATAAGGGAGGGAACAGAAGAGGAATGAGAATTAGTTCCGTTTTAACCACTAAGATTTGCACTAACTACTGAACATAAACATGGAGCTCCTCCCCACTCCACCAACCCTCAGTAAATATAGATCCAGATCTTAGCAGAGTGTTCAGGGCTAGAGACTCAAATCTGGGAGTAGTCAACAAATGGACTGTAGGTGATGTCCTGGAGAAGATGCCAACACCCAAGCAGAGAGGGGAGACCCCTGCCCAGCCCTGAAAGCACTCTAAGATCGCCCCAGACTGGCTGGGCTCCACACATCAGTGTTCTGCGGTACAGCCTAGATTGAGAAACATTAGTGTTACAGAGGTACCATTTAAAAAAAAAAAGCCAAAAGATGGAACATTTAAAGACTAAGCCAAAGAGGAAGCCCAGTTTACATGGAAACAAGAATAATTACCACCACCTTTCGATTATTACCTGGGTAGCACTGGGAAGGAAGAGGATAGGCCAGACCTTGTCCTTCTGAGTAACAAGGAATTCTTTTTTGGAAGGTAGACACTGGACTCCTGGAAGGACATGCACTGTGGAAGCCTCCTAGGAACTGATGACCCAAATAAATGGTAAGCACCATTCAAAAAACTATTTGGGCACCTTAAAGGTGGAACATTACTAAGGCAATAAAGCAAGCCTCACTGGAGGAGGTCTCCAGAGAGTTAGACTCTGAACAAGCAAAAGTGAAGCCCAGAAGAGCTCTCCAGATCACAAACAGTACAGGATCCTGACTGAGGAAGCAGCAGCCTGGGAACAACTGGAAGACAGCCGTGGCACTGAGAAGAATGGAGACTACAGGCAGGGCGTGGTGGCCCACGCCGTAATCCCAGAGCTTTGGGAGGCCAAGACAGAAGAACTGCTTGAGGCCAAGATTTCAAGATCAGCCTGGGCAACATGGTAAGACCGTGTCTCTACAGAAATGTAAAAATTACCCAAGTGCATGGCACGTGCCTGTAATCCCAGCTACTCAGGAGGCTACAGCAGGACGGTCACCTGCACCCAGGAGTTTGAGGTTACAGTAAGCTCTGATCACACCACAGCATTCCAACCTGGGTGACAGAGACCCTATTCATTTAAAAAAAAAAAAAGAAAGAAAAAGAAAAAAATGAATGGGACTTTCCATTTGTAAAGTGAGAGTATTTATTTCTACAACTGTCTCCAATTAGCTTTTTATTAGTAGCTGACTTACCTAAACGTGCCCAGTAGCTTTTCAACTTTTGACTTTTTTGGTTCAGATCCCAGAAGCTTCTAATTAGGTTATTTGGGCTAAGAACTCTTTTCCAATCTTTTCCAATCTCACATTCCTATCTTACACCTCTGAAATGACATGGCAAGTAAAGGCACTTTCATCGTCAAAAGACCCCAGCAAAAGAGGCAGTAACAGGCTCACTTTTTGTAAGTTACTAAACTGAAGCTCAGAAGGCCAATGACTTGACCAAAGGCCACACAACACTGAGGCTGTGAGAGGCGGGATTTGGGAAGAGGCCCAACTCCAAGGCTTATTCGCTTCCCACCAACACCATAACATGCACCCACACCTGCAGCACGGCAGCCAGGGCAAGCCTTCACGCTCCCATACATAGGCCACCAATATTTTAATACCAATCAGGACTAGGCAAGCAAACAGTTAAGGCATTTTTTTTTTTTTTTTTTTTTGAGACAGAGTCTTGCTCTGTCGCCCAGGCTCGAGTGCAGTGGCGCCATCTTGGCTCCCCGGGTTCATGCCATTCTCCTGCCTCAGCCTCCCGAGTAGCTGGGACTACAGGCGCACGCCACCACGCCCGGCTAATTTTTTGTGTATTTTTAGTAGAGACAGGGTTTCACCGTGTTAGCCTGGATGGTCTCGATCTCCTGACCTTGTGATCCACCCGCCTCGGCCTGGGATTACAGGCGGGAGCCACCGCACCCAGCCCGTTAAGGCATTTATTAAAGTGACTTCAGAACTATAGAGTCAGGCAATAAAATCCAAAACTGAATAATATAACAAATGAATATCTGATTAATGTATAGGTTAGAAAATGTTTCTTTTTCATGTCCTTACAATTTGACAGAAAAGTAATCTTCAAATATTTGCAGATGAGTAAAGGTATACGGCTTTTTTTCTTAAACCTACAGAAAAATACTAAACACCTACTGAACGTAGGACAACATATGAAAAAATGTTAAGAACAGGTTCCTAGAACAATTAGAAAGGTCAGACAGGAACATTAAGTACGTCGATTTGAAGACATCCTAGAAGCAGCAAGGGAGTGAGGTCTTCCTAAAGTCTAAGACCCACGAGAGGAAGAAAGAGGCCCAGAGAACCTAAGCACGCAGGGATGAGACTGAGAAGCAAAACGGAGCTTCTGAGAGACTCCCAGGGCCCTCATACAGGAGAAAGAGGCCTGGCAGATCCCATGCTCTGAGCTGGAACCTCAAAGGGCCACACACCAGAAATACAGGTGAGTTAGAAGTAGACCAGCCTTCACGGAAAACCAGCCCAGTTTCGCATTCTCTCAATTTCCAAAGGGACTGCAGTGACCTGGGATTGCCTAGAACATCCTCTCTGGAGGAAGATATTGTTACCTAGAGCCTCGATTTATTGCTACAATATTGCATATACAATATCTGAAAGTCAAGCAAATATAATAATGACAAAGATACAAGACCACATCATTGAAAAATGAAAAAAAAATAGAAGTCATTAGAACAGACTGAGTAGATCCTGAAAACAGAAACATAAAGACTTCTGTCATGAAAGAAGAGCCTGAGGAATGAACTGAAGTGTTGACACTCTGCTCAGCAGATGTCAGCTCGGGGCAATGGGGTGAGGGAAGTGGGAAAGCGAGACAAGGAGATCAATGAAGTAACGATATGCAGTATATGACTTCACAGTCAGCTAAGTGTGATTTTAGCCTACTCTGCCTATGTAGGAGCCATTCTTATTTCCTTTAATTTCCTAAAAAAAGAAAAATATATATTAAAAAAGAGTGATTTTATATTTTTCAATGGTTGCAACATAATCAAAAGAATCATATGTCAGCCAAGCACGGTGGCTCACACCTGTCATCTCAGACTTTGGGAGGCCAAGGCAGGCGGATCACGAGGTAAGGAGTTCACGACCAGCCTGGCCAACATGATGAAACCCCATCTCTACTAAAAATACAAAAAAAAAAATTAGTGAGGCATGATGGTACACGCCTGTAATCCCAGCTACTCCAGAGTCTGAGGCAGAACAATTGCTTAAACCCAGGAGGTGGAGGTTGCAGTGAGCCAAGATCGCGCCACTGCACTCCAGCCTGGGCAACAGAGCAAGACTCCCTCTCAGAAAAAAAAAAAAAAAAAATCATATGTCAACAAATGAAAATTATATGACATTCAAATTCTGGTATCCACGAAGTTTTCCTGGAATATAGCCATACACATGTTTGGCAGCTTCTCGCAGGACAATGGCCAAGGTGAGCTGTTCTAAAAGAGCACGTACGGCCCACATAAACATTTACTATCTGGTGCTTTACAGAAAAAATGTGCTGACCCCTATGTTAGTGCCACCTCTTCTCAATGAGCTGCAAATACAACCAACTGTTCAGCCAGCACATTCACTAGGCATATGTGGCTTTTCCAGAAGGTTTGCAAGAAGAAACTACACCATAAAATAGTCCAAAGAGGAAAGAAAAAAGGGAGGAATAAAAACACTGAGTTCCCTCATCTCTCCTTGTAAAGTGGTGAACGTTCATACCACAAGGAATTCACACCCACACACACTCGCCACACCTTCCAGGCTGTGTCACTGGCTCCTTGGTAGGCAGTCAGGAAGCCATACTCCAACTCTCTTGCGTGACATCACAGCGGAGACTGGAGCCGAAGGGCGGCTCACAGGCATGAGTCAGCCAAGAGGGACAGAGAGAGGCGGCTAAGGAATCTATGGGGTCGGACAAGGTTTATAAACACACTTTTAAAATAACTACCTTTAATAGAGTCAAGCAATTAAAAGATCCTATTAACAGCCGGGCACGGTTCATGCTTGTAATCCCAGCACTTTGGGAGGCCAAGGCAGGCGGATCACGAGGTCACGAGTTCAAGACCAGCCTGGCCAATCTGGTGAAACCCCATCTCTATTAAAAATACAAAAATTAGCCAGGTGTGGTGGCAGGCACCTGCAGTCCCAGCTACTCGGGAGGCTGAGGCAGGAGAATCACTTGAACCCAGGAGATGGAGGTTGCAGTGAGCCGAGATTGTGCCACTGCACTACAGCCTGAGCGACAGAGCGAGACTCCTTGTCAAAAAAAAAAAAAAAAAAAAAAAGATCACATTAACAATTTCAACACAGAAGTTGAAACTAGAAAAAAGTACCTAAAGTGGCAGTTAAAGAAACTGTCAAACATTTCAAACTAAACATTTTAAAGGGATGTGTTTAATATAATTATACCTCAATAAAGTTGATATGTTTAAAAAATGGAAATTCTGGAATAGAAAAATATAATAGTAAAATTTAAAACTCAATGGATTTGATTAAAAACAGATTGGGAAGGCCTGTGCTTCCTCCACCTATAAAGGATGAATTCTGTAGAAATCACTTCCTTGCTATAATCAACTAGAAAACCAGACAGAATATACCGAAAAGCTGTTACCAAAAACTGGACAACAGACAGCCCAGAGCTGGGATCCCTGAGAGAAGGGAAACACTGCCCAGAAGCAGCTTCCAGGCTGCAGCACAGGAAAGGGGAACCCAAATAGAGCCCAAAGAACTTGCTGAGCTCAGGAGACAGATCAGCTATACGTAGGCCAAATGACAAGAATACAGCAAGCTCCAGAGATGAGTGGAGGGGCCCCTTGAGTATCTGTCTGAGTACTACTCTGAGCATAGGTTAAGAAAACTATGGAATACTGGGGAAAGCAGCACTAGAAAGTAATAAGCAGCACTGCCATGATGCACAGTCTGGGAAAAGCCTGTGTTTCCACAAACAAGGAAAGAAAGATCTTCTCATACACCAAGCATCAGGTGGAGTCCTGAGAACAGTATTGCCTTCGTTGTATGGATAAATGAGCCCAAGAGTAAAGCCTGTGTGGATCAGCCTAACAAACCTCAGAATCAAGCTTTGAAAAGATCAAACTGACCCCATGTAACTTACATGTATGGCAGAAGAAAACTAAGGCTCTTTAAAAAAATAAAACAAAATCCTGCACAGAAGATAAAATTAATGCCTAGCATTCAATCAAAAATTAGCAGGCATACAACCATGCCCCCATAACTAGGGCAATCAATCAATAGAAATGACAGAATCAATCAACAGAGATGGATCTAGAAGTGATCAGAGATTACAGAATTCACAGACAAGGACATTAAAAGCTCTCTTACAGAAATGCTCCCTATACTAATAGAAGGAAAGCATGAATGTTATAAGGAGTGAAACAGAAGATATAAAAAGGACTCAAATGGAATCTCTAGAAATGAAAATACAAAATGGATGGATGAGATTAACAGAACTGCATAACAGTTACAACCATAATCTACAATGTCTAAGCACATGGCTATGCCATGCTCTCTCCCTTAACACTCATGCAGTCTAGGTTTAACAAATAACTGTTTCATGCCCATCATCAGTTGCAGGTTGATCTACAGTCATCCAGTTGTCTAAAGATCTTTCTCCACTCCATTCCTAAGGAAGGGCTCATGAGAACAATACTTCCTAAGTTACAGCTCACTGAGAAGTTTGTGTGTTTTTCATCTGAAAAGTCGGTTTTGCTGGAACAAAAAATGCTTTACTCACATTTTCTTTTCTTGAGTGCCTTAAACAGGATACTCAATTTCTTCTTCATAAAGAATTGTCATCTGCTGGGCTCAGTGGCTCACTGCTGTAATCCCACCACTCTGGGAGGCCAAGGCAGGTGGACTGCCTGAGCTCAGGAGTTCAAGACCAGCCTGGGCAACATGGTGAAACCCCATCTCTACTAAAAATATAAAAAATTATCTGGGTGTGGTGGTGCACACTTGTAATTCCAGCCACTTAGGAGGCTGAGGCACGAGAATGGCTTGAACCTGGGAGGTGGAGGTTGCAGTGAGCTGAGATAGTGCCACTGTACTCCAACCTGGGCAACAGAGTGAGACTCTGTCTCAAAAAAAAAAAAAAAAAAAAAAGGAATTGTCATCAAAGTCCTACGGCTAAACCCTTTTCCTTTTTTTTATAACAAGTATTGCTAGTCTTTTCCAAGAACCAAAGTTAAAAGTTAGTTCTTTAAAACACCAGGCCAGGCACAGTGGCTCACATATCTAATCACAGCACTTTGGGAGGCCAAGGCAGGAGGATCACTTGAATGCAGAAGTTCTAGACCAGCCTGGACAACAAAGCAAGACCCTGCCTCTACAAAAAACTTTTTTTTTTGCTGCAAAATGCTCTTAATTAACCTGACAAAATGCCACATACAGGGTTACTGCATCTTTTTTATCATGGAATTTTGAAAACAAAAATTGTTCTCTTGAGGCAGCAGTATTTGGATATTAGAGGTAAAAACCACCCTTAGAATCCAGTCCTAAAAACATCAATGAATATTCCTATATTTACAAATTCTTCTATTTCTACATGTCATCTATCAACAGGATTATGAACCTGAAAGCCTGAGAATAGAATTTATCAAGATACTCATGTTTGTACTTTTTTTATCTACTGCCCTTTTTTATTTTTTTTGAGACAGATTCTCACTCTCTCACCAGGCTGTAGTGCAGTGGCGCGATCTCAGCTCACTACAACCTCCGCCACCTGGGTTCAAGCGATTCTCCTGCCTCAGCCTCCTAAGTAGCTGGGACTACAGGCACGTGCCACCACACCCAGCTAATTTTTGTATTTTTAGTAGAGATGGGGTTTCACCATGTTGGCCAGGATGATCTCGATCTCCTGACCTCAGCCTCCCAAACTGTTAGGATTACAGGCTAAGCCACCACACCCGGCCATCTACTGATATTTCTAAGCATGAAGTGACATTTTTTTTTTTTGAGAAGGAGTCTTGCTGTGTTGGCCAGGCTGGAGTGCAATGGCATGATCTCGGCTCACTGCAACCTCCACCTTCTGGGTTCAAGCAGTTCTCCTGCCTCAACCTCCCAAGTAGCTGGGATTACAAGCGCACACCACCACACCTGGCTCATTTGTATTTTTAGTAGAGACAGGGTTTCACCATGGGGGCCAGGTTGGTTTTGAACTCCTGACCTCAAGTGATCCGCCCTCCTCGGCCTCCCAAAGTGCTGTGATTACAGGCGTGAGCCACCGCGCCCAGCCGAAGTGACAATATTTATATACAATAAGTTTAACTGTAAAAGCTTACATTTATGCGTGGTCATTTTTAATTGATGATTAGATGAAGAGACAAATAAATGGTCCCAGTTTAGCTACTGATATACTCAACAAACCTTGACGGACCTGAGGGCATTATGCTGAGTAAAGAAAATCATTTCCGAAGGTCACATATCACTTGGTAATCTCACAGTAACAAAATTATAGAGATGGAGAACAGATCAGTGGTTGGCAGGAGTTAGAGATGGTGGCAGAAGAGAGGCAGGAGAGAGATCTTTCTGGTGATGAAACAGTTCTGCATAGGAAATTGTAGTAGTAGTTATATTTACAGACACTTGATAGAATGGCACAGAACTACGCACACACATTGTACCAACTTCAATTTCTGGGTTTTTATACTCTATTATGGTTACATAAAATGTAACCACTGGGGCAGTATGCGCAAATATACAATGACCTCTCTAGTTTCTTTACAACTTCCTGAGAGTCTATTATTATTTCAAAATAAAAAGTTTTTTTAAAAATTGCTTCATGCATATCTAGTTTCATGTGCCACTTAAAAAAGAACCCAAAAATAGAAACTGTAGGAAATTCATCTGAGTGCAGCTTATGCAAGAAGGGGCAGGATAACTCCATTCTGGACCTATGCTCAAAGACATGCACCTTTACCTTACAACAAAACTGGCGAACAGGCATGTGTTTTAAGAATAAAAAGCTTTTAAGGTCTCATATATTGGTTTTTATGATTCCTTTGCTTAACTGACTTTTTGGTTTGCTAAAAAACTACCAATCACATCAGATTAGAAGTACTTTCACGGTAAAAATAAAAAGTGATGTGACTGACACCTCTTACCTCTGTAATGTATTACTCTTCACGAGAGCAGTGAAGGAAAACATGGTGATTCAATCACTCCACACATCAAGCAGAAAAGAGTGTTGAACAGGCCGGGCGCGGTGGCTCACGCCTGTAATCCCAGCACTTTGGGAGGCCGAGGCGGGTGGATCACTTGAGGTCAGGAGTTCAAAACCAGCCTGGCCCACATGGTGGAACCCTGTCTCTACTAAAAGTACACAAAATTAGCCAGGCGTGGTGGTGGACACCCGTAGTCCCAGCTACTCGGGAGGCTGAGGCAGGAGAATGGCATGAACCCAGGAGGCTTGCAGTGAGCCAAGATGGCACCACTGCACTCCAGCCTGGGAGACAGAGTGAGACTCCGTCTCAAAAAAAAAAAAAAAAAGTGTTGAACAATTAAACTGTTTATATGTAATAACCAGATATATATGCCTGGCATAAAATGAGCCCTGCATTAGAGGTTGCTGGATGTAGGGTCCTAGGCCTGACGTATCCAAATAATGTCTATGATAAAGAAGTCAATAAGTGCTCTCTATAACACACAAGCATTATAAGTTTTCACACTCCAAAAACTCTTCCTTTCTAAAGTTACTAAAACTTTTAAGGGCATTTCGAACAAAAACAGCTGTGGAAAACAGATCGGTTAAATCCTATGGCTAAGAAACATCTTCCTATCCCATGTATTATTCATTACCCAGGTGTCAATTCTGTTTCCAATACAAAAGTCTCAAGCAGTGAAGCGCTTCCCACTCCAGCTGGGAGAGCCATCCTCAACAAGATAAGGGTAAAACCTGTGAGCACAAGGCTTCCATCTGCAATTCCTGTCTGCAGGGAAGCTCCCCAAAGAGGGAAACCATGTCTTATTCCTTACGGTAAAACACCACCATTCATTCCTTGTGTTTAACAACCAATGCTGGTGGAACATAAAACAAAACTTAGCAATCACTTTTTTCATGCTACTTAGACCTGTAACACATTTTTCCTCTGGTGCACACTATCCAAAACCTAGTCGTTTCCCTTACTCCTAGGAGGAATTTAGATGACTTTTTTTTTTTGGCCAGGTGCAGTGGCTCACGCCTGTAATCCCAGCAATTTGGGAGGCCGAGGCAGGCAGATCGCTTTGAGGTCAGGAGACCAGCCAGGCCAACACAGTGAAACCCCATCTCTACTAAAAATACAAAAATTAGTCGGGCATGCATGGTGGCACACACTTGTAATCCCAGCTACTCGGAAGGCTGAGGTGGGAGAATCACTTGCATTCGGGAGGCGGAAGTTGCAGTGAGCCAAGATTGCGCCACTGCACGCCAGCCTGGGCGACAGAGCAAGACTGCGTCTCAAAAAAAAGACTTTCTAATCATATTGGAAATGTGTAACAAGGACCAAGTACTGTGTATTAAACTTAATAAATCAAAACAACAGGCCCTCTAAGATATAAATGGTGCTTCACTGTATGTTTATCTGCCCAACCCATCATAGGAACTCAATTCAGCATTAAACTGGTTTTAGATCAAGACACTAGAACTCATGTTTAGCAGTTATTAAATTACAATTATTAAGAAAAAAACTTCATTACGTAAAGTCCTTTACTCCAAAAAGTTTCTCAAAATACATAAACACTAATATAAAAACAACTATTAAAACTTTGCCTGAATCTCAGGATTTCAGAAATATGAAAGTACTCATCTCTCACGTCTCCCATCCACTTAAAATGACAAAACAGATCATTATAGCTAAATCAAAGGAAATGTTTAAAGAGAAACAAACCCAAAGAGTAACTACACCAATTCTTGACCCAATTCTCTGTACTCTGTCTTATGTAACATTACACTATGAATAACAATCCCATCATCCACAACAGCTTTTTTTTTTTTTTTGAAAAAAAAGCTCTCATTGTCCAGGCTGGAGTGCAACGGCACAATCTTGACCCACTGCAACCTCCACCTCCCGGGTTCAAGCGATTCTCCTGCCTCAGCCTCCCGAGTGGCTGGGATTACAGGCATACACCACCACGCCTGGCTAATTTTGTATTTTTAGTAGAGACGGGGTTTCACCATGTTGGTCAGGCTGGTCTCCAACTCCTGACCTCAGGGAATGAGTGAGTTTCTATAGGCCATAATTACTGCAACTTACTTCTCCAATTTTCCCCTCCACAGTTAACTCAACAGCTCAAAAACGATCAGTAACAAACAACAGTCACCATGATATGGTTAGGAGTGTGGCAGATTTCTTAACCAGTAATAATAAATAGGAAAAAAATTTTCTCTATTAATAGATCTCAAGTTTCGTGCACTTGCAAGAAACTAATTAAAAGGCAGCCGCGCACGATCTACAAAAACAGCCATAAGACTGTTACATTTTAAGTTACAGGAAATAAACCTGCTCCTCTAATTCAGCAAGATACAACTGACTTCCCCTTACATACCCTAAAAAAAAGCCTTACACGAGAAATTTAAACATGGAAGCAGAAACACACCAAGAAAAAGACATGTCAAACCCCACCTGTATATCTGTTTTCAACCATTTGGAGTCGAGGCGAGCCTGGGCAGCCAAACACAAAGATTCAGAGGGCATCTTTTCTCCAGCTTCCTCCCAGGTCTCAGGCCTGCAAGTAAACACATACGCTGAAGACCTAATGCTTTTTAATAGTTTACAAAGACACTCCCGAAAGGTTCAATGCAGAAAAGAAAAAAGAGAGAGAGAACAGAAAGGGGGGAGAGAAGAGCTGGTGGAGGGGAGAGAAGGGGAGAGAGGGAAAGAGGGAAGAGATGGAGAGAGAGGGAGGTGGGGAAGGGAAAGCCTGCTTCCAAGGTAGGCAGGGTGTGCCGAGTTTCTGCACCACGCTGACGAGACCTTGAGAATGGACGGTCACAGGAAGCCAAGTTACAATGTCATCCCCCTGCCCTCAAATCCAAGAAGTACACACACATAACAGGGAGCCCATCGTTTTAACGACAAATGACAGCAGCATGAATCTGCCGCTTTACCCCACAGCAGGGCGCGTGCGTGAAACAAATTACTCAAAAGGATCGCCTGCAGAAAAACCCACAGCCACCACCACTTAAGAGATGGAGAGAGGCCCGAGGCTGCCCCGCGGGTGGTCCGCGCAGGCCCCGGTGCGGCCGCCGCGCCCACGCCCGCCTCCCGGGCTCGGCCGCCCGCCAGCCCCGCGCCCGTACCGCCCCCGCCACCGGCCGCCCAGGTGCCCCAGGCCAGGACCTGACGCGCAGGGCCCGGCCGCCTCGCCCCGCCGGCGCGCGGACGCAGCCTCCCAAGAGCCGCTGGCTCAGCCGGCGCCCGCGATCCCGGCGCCTCTCGCGGCCCGAGGGGCGGGCCGACGCGGGACTGCCGCCCCCCGCGTACGGCCAATCGCAACGAGGCTGCTCCGTGGGCGCAGCCAATGGGGAAGAGGAGCCCTTCGCCGCTCCTCCCGACTCTCCCGCTTCCAGCAATCCCGCTTATCTTCCTACTTGGAGCGCCGTGGCTGCGGCCAAGGCCAACAGCGGGCGCCGGAAGGCTGGATTTCCGCCGCACGCACGCGCTCCCGCACTCCCACGGGAGACTGCTTGGCCCGGAGCGCTCTTGATCACGCCGCGGCGGGAGGTGGCGCTCACACTAACTATAGCTATCCAGGGCGCGGGTCGAGTGGCGAGACCAGCTCCCCTGGGTATGAGAACGCATCTTTGTGCGGTCGGCTGGCTGGGGCCTGAAGAGCTTCCTCCTGTGTGTTCAACTGAACGCAGCAAAAGTCTTGGGCAGATTCCATGGAGCAGCTGTGGAAGCACTGTGCAGGGAATCGAAGAAGGAAACACCTCCAGCGACCACAAAACAAAATTGAAGAACTATAAAACAATATAGGCCGGGCGTGGTGGCTCACGTATGTAATTTTCAGCGCTTTGGGAGGCCGAAGCGGGAGGATCCCTCGAAGCCAGGAGTTGGAGGATCCCATGTTGCCAGACTGGGCAACATAGCAAGACCCCATCTCTAAAAAATAAAAATAAAAAAATTTAACAATTAGCCAGGTGTGGTGGCACACACCTGTGATCCCAGCTGCTCGGGAGGCTGAGACAGGAGAATCGCCTGAGCCTGGGAGATCAATGCTACAGTGAGCTTAGATCGTGCCACTGCACTCCAGCCTGGGCGACAGAGTGAGATCCTGCCTCTAAGAAAGAAAAATAACGGCCGGGCGTGGTGGCTCAGGCCTGTAATCCCAGCACTTTGGGAGGCCAGAGCAGGTGGATCATTTGAGGTCAGGAGTTCAAAACCAGCCTGGCCAACATGATGAGACCCCTTCTCTACTGAAAATACAAAGATTAGCCAGGTGTGGTGGCACGTGACTGTAATCCCAGCTACTCGGGAGGCCGAGGCAGGAGAATCGCTTGAACCCGGGAGGCGGAGGTTGCAGTGAGCCGACATTGCACCACTGCACTCCAGCCTGGGGGACAGAGGCTGCACCACTGCAGCCTTGACTTACCGGGTTCAGGTGGTTCTCCACCTCAGCCTTGCCACTAGCTGGGACTGCAGGCACATGGAACCACACCTGGCTAATTTTTGTAGTTTTTGTAGACGGGATTTTGCCATGTTGCCCAGGCTGGTCTCGAACTCCTGGGCTCAAGTGATCCGCCCGCCTCAGTCTCCCAAAGTGCTAGGATTACAGGTGTGAGTCACTGCACTCGGCTAATAGTAATGAACTTTGAACAGAAGGAAAGTTGTTATTATTTTCTTGGTTATGTTCTATCTATATTTTCTAATTTTTCTAAACATGTAAAGATAAAATTCTAAAAACTCAGACCTCAGAACAAAAAAATTAGAGTATAAATATTTATTTTAGTTAACTTGTACAAATTTGGTTTCTGGAAAAAGAATGGAATAGATTTTCTGAGAAAAAAAATCCACCACTTTGGCCGGGCGCAGTGGTTTACGCGTGTAATGCCTGCACTTTGGGAGGCTGAGGCGGTGGATCACCTGAGGTGAGGAGTTCAAGACCAGCCTGACCGACATGAAGAAACCCCTGTCTCTACTAAAAATACAAAAATTAGTCAGGCCTGGTGGCACGCACCTGTAATCCCAGCTACTCAGGAGGCTGAGGCTGGAGAATCGCTTGAACCCAGGAGGCAGAGGTTGCAGTGAGCTGAGATCGCACCATAGCGCTCCAGCCTGGGTGACAAAAGGAAAACTCTGTCTCAAAAAGAAAGAAAGAAAAGCAGACTGGCTGAAAGGATTGAAGAACAAAATATGATCCACCAATGTGCTATCTACAAGATAAACATTTTAAATACAGAAACAGATTGAAAGTAAAGGGATACAAAGATACAATTAAAATAGTAACCAAAAAAGAGCTGAAGGGGCTGTACTAATATCAAATGTAATACACTTTAAATTAAAGCAGGGCTGGGCATGGTAGCTCAGGCCTGCAATCCCAGCACTTTGGGAGGTGGAGGCAGAGAGACACGTGAGCCCAGAAGTTCGAGATCAGCCTGAGCAACATGGCATAATCCCATCTCTACAAAAAATACAAAAATTAGGCGGGCATGGTGGTACCCACCTGTGGTCCCAGCTATTTGGGAGGCTGAGGTGGGAGGATCATGTGAGCTGGGGAAGTTGAGGCCGCAGTGAGCTAAGATCGGGCCCCTGCACTCCACCCTGGGCAACAGAGCGAGACCCTGTCTGAAAATAAAAAAAAATAAAAAACGGGGTTGAGAGACAAAAAAGGACATCCTTTTTTTTATTATTGTATTTTGAAATGGAGTTTCGCTCGTTGCCCAGGCTGGAGTGCAATCGTGTGATCTTGGCTCACTGCAACCTCCGCCTCCCGGGTTCAAGTGATTGTCGTGCCTCAGGCTCCCGAGTAGCTGGCATTACATGTGCCTGCCATCACGCCCAGCTAATTTTTGTATTTTGATACAGACGGGGTTTCACCATGTTGGCCAGGGTGGTCTCCAACTACTGACCTCAGGTGATCCACCTGCCTTGGCCTCCCAAAATGCTGGGACTACAGACATGAGCCACCGCGCCAGCCGAAACCTTCATTTTAAAAAAGGCTGGGTCAGGCATCATGCCTCATGCCTGTAATCCCAGCACTTTGAGAGGGCAACGCAGGCGGATCACCTGACGTCAGGAGTTCGAGACCAGACTGACCAACATGGTGAAACCCCGTCTCTACCAAAAATATAAAAATTAGCCGGGTGTGGTGGCACACACCTGTAATCCCAGCTACTCAGGAGGCTGAGGCAGGAGAATTGCTTGAATCTGGGAGGTGGAGGATGCAGTGAGCCGAGATTGTGCTACCACACTGCAGCCAGGGTGACAGAGTGAGACGCCATCTCAAAAAATAAATAAAGGCTGGGTGCCAGATGTGGTGCATAGGCCTAGTTTGTTGACTCCTGTACTTAACATATAAAACTCTAAAGAACAGTGGGAAGGAGCTTCCCTCTAGAGGCACAGGAGCGGCCAAGTTGGTCCCTGAGCAGTGACTTTATAATAACATGTTACACTGTGTTTTTTGTTTTTGTTTTGTTTTTTGTTTGTTTGAGACGGAGTTTCGCTCTTGTTGCCCAGGCTGGAGTACAATGGCGTGATCTCAGCTCAAAACAACCTCTACCTCCCAGATTCAAGCGATTCTCCTGCCTCAGCCTCCAAAGTAGGTGGGATTTCAGTCATGCAACACCATGCCCGGCTAATTTTGTACTTTTAGTAGGGATGGGGTTTCTCCATGTTGGTCAGGCTGGTCTCGAACTCCTGACCTCAAGGGATCTGCCCGCCTCGGCCTCCCAAAGTGCTGGGATTACAGGCGTGAGCCACCACACCCAGCCTTTATTTTTTTTCTTTTTTTTTAGACACAGTCTGACTCCGTTGCCCAGGCTGGAGTGCAGTAGCACGATCTTGGTTCACTGTAACTTCTGCCTCCCAGGTTCAAGCGATTCTCCTGCCTCAGCCTCCCAAGTAGCTGGGATTACAGGCATGCACCACCACATCTGACTAATTTTTGTATTTTTAGTAGAGATGGGGTTTCACCATGTTGGCCAGGCTGGTCTCAAACTCCTCACCTCAAGTAATCCGTCCGCCTCGGCCTCCCAAAGTGCTGGGATTACAAGGCGTGACCCACCGGGCCTGGCCCTGTGTGTTGTTTTATGTATGTTTCTATATGTGTTATATTTCACAATAAACTAAATATTAAAACAAAGAATAACTGATAGCTATGCACAAAGGTATTTAAATTTCACCCTCACAAATAATTTTTTTTTTTTGAGACAGGATCTCACTCTGTTACCCAGGCTGGAGTGCAGTGGCACCACCTTGGTTCACTGCAGACTTGACCTCCCAGGCCCAAGCGATCCTTCTACCTCAGCCTCCTGAGTAGCTGGGACTACAGGCACACTCCACCACACCCACCTAATTTTTGTATTTTTGGTAAAGATGGGGTTTCACCATGTTGGCCAGGCTGGTCTCGAACTTCTGGGATCAAGGAATCCTCCAACCTTGGCTTTCCAAAGTGCTGGTATTACAGGCGTGAGCCACTGTACCCGGCCAAGAATAGTTTCTTCTCCTTACCTAGGTAGAGACCTCTGCAGAAATGCTGGGAGATCTTTGGAGAGGGGAGATTTTTTAAATAAAAAATTTAATACTTGGAGGGGCGTGGTGGCTTACCCCTGTAATCCCAGCACTTTGGGAGGCCAAGGCGGACAGATCAGGAAGTCAGGAGATTGAGACCACCCTGGCTAACACGGTGAAACCCCATCTCTACTAAAAAAAATACAAAAAATTAGCTGGGCATCGTGGCGGGCGCCTGTAGTCCCAGCTACTCGGGAGGCTGAGTCAGGAGACTGGCGTGAACCTGGGAGGCGGAGCTTGCAGTGAGCCGACATCGGGCCACTGCACTCCAGCCTGGGCGACACAGCAAGACTTCGTCTCAAAAAAAAAAAAAAAAAATTAATGCTTTGGGATGCCAAGGCAGGTGGATCACGAGGTCAGGAGTTCAAGAACTGCCTGGCCAAGATGGTGAAACCCCGTAAAAATACAAAAATTTGCCGGGCTTGGTGGCAGGTGCCTGTAATCCCAGCTATTCAGGAGGCTGAGGCAGGAGAATTGCTTGAACCTGGGTGGCAGAGGTTGCAGGGAGCCAAGATAGCACCACTGCACTCCAGCCTGGGCAATAAGAGTCAGACTCTGTCTAAAAAAAAAAAAAAAAAAACTGATCTAGTTCAAAACCTCACTTTGAATCCACCCACATTGCTCTAAAATACTTTCATCTTTCCTGTGGCTAAAACCTTAAAGCCTTGCCAGTAACTCCCATTGCACTTAAGGAAATCCAATCTCCCTTGTTGTGGCCCCTGAACAGGCTGCTGCTGGCCCACCACGGTGCCTCTAGTTTGTGTAAAATGCATATGTTAATTTATAATATATGAGGCTTTTTTAGCTCTAAAAGGCTATTATTCACTAGTTGCTGTGTGAATCAGTATTTCTGGGTGCAGTTAGAAATTATTAGAGTTGATGCCCAAGACTCATCTCCATCAGCACGGGGGAGGCATCTGCTCGTTTTATGGTCAGTGACTCTGGGCCTCCTGCTGGGCTAAGTCCTGAGGTGGGTCTGACTCAGGTCAGAGCTGTGCACCCCGGCCCTCCTCCCCAACGTGCATGAGTGCTCTTTAGGATGGAGCTGAACACTGGCTTCTCAAAACCACTTGGCCCCATCACAGGCCCTGAGAACTGATTGGGTCACTCTGGTGGGCTCCCCAGCCCTAGCCAAGAAGGGTTTCTCTAGGGAGCCTGGCCCCCCACTTATGAGACCTGGAGCCCCAAAGATCCTGACCAGGGGCCTGCCTCCTCCAGGGAGGGGCCACTCGCCCCCACCAAGCTCCCTTCACAGAGACCCATCCAACAGAGCTGAGGAAAACCATGCCTCATAAATGAATAAATACATAAATAAGGATGCCGGGGACCTGTGGATTTTGTAATTCCTGAAAGAAGGCAGAGTGGCTGGCTCACAGCAAGCGCAGTAGGAGATACTGCTCCCCGGCCAGGCTGTTCTCTGTCTCTTTGGAGGGAGCCCTAGGGTACAAGAAAAGCCAGAGGAGACCAGCTGGCCCAGAAGGTGCCTCTCCACCCCTTCCCCAGAGTTTCTGGGAAACAAAGCCCACCCGAGGGACACATGCCTTCTTGGGAGTTGTACCAGGCCTCCTTCCTCATCCGGCCATGCAGTGGTTTTCAGTGCCCGAAACAGATGAATAAAATAGGCCCTTTACTGGATGTTCTTCAGGAACATGCACACTTCTTTGGATCTTACCATCGTTTTATCTCTATTTAAAGTTAAATGCTGTGTTATACAGAGTATTGGTAAAGATGTAGAGCTACAAGAACTGTCAAGCTGGCAGTAGCATAAAATTGTATAAGCACATTGGAAACCTGTTTGGCAGCTTCTACTAAAGCTATATCTATGCCTACGTTCAGAAATTCCATCCTAAGCATGTACACAAGAGAAACGAGTGCATATGTCCACAAAAAGACTTATATAAGAATGTTCACTGCCATTTTTATTCATAAGAGCCCCAAATGAAAACAACCTAAATGTCCATCAACAGGAGAGTGAATAAATGGTGATACAGTCACATCATGGAATACTACACAGCCAAAAAAGAAAAATGAAGTGGTAGGAACACTCAACGACATGGGTGAATAGAGGGAGCCAGGTATGAGAGACAGTGCACAGTACCAGCCCACCTAGATGAAGCGCAGGAAGGCAGAACTGACGATGATTGAAGTCAGAAGAGTAGTTTCCTTTGTGGGAAAGTGTAGGTCAGGAAGGAGCCTTCTGGGGTACTACAAATCTGCCGTATTTTGGCTGGGTGCAACAGCTCACACCAGCACTTCGGGAGGCATAGGCGAGAGGGTCACTTGAGCCCAGGAGTTAGAGACCAGCTTGGGCAACACAGCGAGATCCCATCTCTACAAAAAAATTAAAAATTAGCGTGGCATGCTGGTGTGCACCTGTAGTCTCAGCTACTCAGGAGGCTGAGGCAGGAGGATTGCTTGAGCTTAAGAGTTTGAGGTTGCAGTGAGCTCCCAAAGTGCTGGGATTACAGGTGTGAGACACTATACCAGCCTGATTTTTAAATACTGACCAAGCCTTGTGTTACTGGGATAGGCATCACTTGGCCACGATTTACTACTCTCTTTCTTTCTTTTTTTTTTTTTTTTTGAGACAGAATCTCACTCTGTCACCCAGGCTGGAGTGCATTGGTGCAATCTCAGCTCTCTGCAACCTCTGCCTCCTGGGTTCAAGCAATTCTCCTGCCTCAGCTTCCTGAGTAGCTGGGATTAGAGGTGTGCACCACCACACCTGGCTAATTTTGTTTGTTTGTTGTTTGTTTTTAGTAGAGATGGGGTTTCACCATGTTGGCCAGCCTGGTCTCCAACTCCTGACCTCAAGTGATCCACCCTCCTTGGCATCCCAATATTCCTATGATTACAGGCGTGAGCCACTGCGCCCGGCCCTATTCTGTTTCTATATTGCTAAATTTGACTTGCTAACACGTTTTTGAGGATTTTTCTGTTGATGCTCATCAGGGATGTTGGTTTGCAGTTTTCTTTCTTTGTATTACACTATCTCGTCTGGCTTTCTGTCAGGGGAAAGCTGACCTTATACAAAGTATTGGCATGTGTTCCCTCCTTTTCCATTTTCTCTAAGGGATTGTGTAGAATTAGTGTTATTTCTTCTTTAAATGTTTTTGAATCCATCTGAACCTGGAGATTTCTTTCTAAAAGATTTTACGCCGGGCACGGTGGCTCGTGCCTATAATCCCAGCACGTTGGGAGGCCGAGGCAGGTGGATCACCTGAGGTCAGGAGTTTGAGACCAGCCTGGCTAACATGGTGAAACCCCGTTTCTACTAAAAATACAAAAAATTAGTCGAGCTTGGTGGCGTGCGCCTGTAATCCCAGCTACTCAGGAGGCTAAGGCAGGAGAATCACTTGAACCTGGGAGGCAGAGATTGCAGAGAGCTGAGATTGCACCAATGCACTCCAGCCTGGGTGACAGAGTGAGACTCCGGCTCAAAAAAAAAAAAAAATTTTTACAAATTCAATTTATTTAACAGATACAGAACTATTCAGGTAACCTGTTTGTTTCTAGGAGGATTTTCCTGGTTTGTGGCACTCGGACATTGCTTTATTTCATCTAAGTTGTCTGATTTTTAAGTGTCAAGTTTTCCTTAGTGTTCTCTTGCTAACCGTCTGAAGTCTGTGGGGCCTGCAGTGATGTCCCTTCATTCATTCCTGATACTGATAATTTGTATCTTTTCTGTTTTTTTCTTTGTCAGTTTTCCTAGAGTTTTTCAATTTTGTTGATCTTTTCAAAGAATGATCTTTAAGTTTCATTAATTTTTCCCTTCTTTTTTTGCTTTCAATCTCATTAGTTTCTGCTTTTATCTTGGCATTTGTTCCTTTGGCTTGTTTTGCGTTCACTTTGCTCTTTTTCTGGTTTCTTAAGGTGGAAACTTGGATTGCTGATTTAGACCTATCTTTTTTGTAATATATAATGATTTGATGCTATAAATTTTCCTCTAAGCAGTACTTTAATTAACCCCACAAATTTTGGTGCATTTTCATTTATGTTCAAAATATTTTCTAATTTCTTTTGAGAATTGTTCTTTGACCCATGGATGATGATGATGATGATGATTATTATTATTATTTTTCTTCAATACGGAGTTTCACTGTTGTTGCCCAGGCTGGAGTGCAATGACATGATCTCGGCTCACTGCAACCTCTGTCTCCTGGGTTCAAGCGATTCTCCTGCCTCAGCCTCCTGATTAGCTGGGACTACGGGCACCCGCCACCATGCCCGGCTAATTGTTTTGTATTTACAGTAGAGATGGGGTTTCTCCATGTTGGCCAGGCTGATCTTCAACTCCTGGCCTCAGGTGATCCCCCCAACTTGGCCTCCCACAGTGTTGGGATTACACGCGTGAGCCAGTGCGCCCGGCCTGACCCATGGATTATTAAGTATGTTGTTTTATTTTGAAGTGTTTGCAGATTGTTTTGTTAATGATTTCTAGTTTAATACCATTGTGATTGGAGAACAAACTGCATATGATTTCATTTCTTTTAAATTTGTTAAGATTTATGTGTCAGGTTATGTTCTCAGTGAACATTCTGTATGTGCTTAAAAAGTATATGTATGGTCTGTATATGTATGGTCTGTATATACATATATGTATACATATATGTGTAAAAAGTATATGTATGGTCTGTATGTGCTTAAAAAGTATATGTATGGTCCAGCACTTTGGGAGGCCGAGGCAGGCAGATCACAAGGTCAGGAGATCGAGACCATCCTGGCTAACAGGGTGAAACTCAGTCTCTACTAAAAATACAAAAAAAATTACCCGGGCATGATGGCGGGCGCCTGTAGTCCCAGCTACTTGGGAGGCTGAGGCAGGAGACTGGCTTGAGCCTGGGAAGCAGAGCTTGCAGTGAACTGAGATCATGCGACTGCACTCCAGCCTGGGCGACAGAGCTAGACTCCATCTCAAAAAAAATAAAATTTAAAAAAAGTATATGTAAAGTGTATGTATGGCCGGGCACGGTGGCTCACGCCTGTAATCCCAGCACTTTGGGAGGCCAAGGCAGGTGGATCACGAGGTCAGGAAATCAAGACCATCCTGGCTGACATGGTGAAACCCCATCTCTACTAAAAATAAAAATTAAAAAAATAATAATAATTAGCCAGGCGTGGTGGTGAGCACCTGTAGTCCCAGCTACTCAGGAGGCTGAGGTAGGAGAATGGCGTGAACCCAGGAGGCAGAGCTTGCAGTGGGCTGAGATCCCGCCACTGCACTCTAGCCTGGGCGACAGAGCGAGACTCTGTCTCAAAAAAAAAAAAAAGTATATGTATTTTGCTGTTGTTGGGTGAAGTGTTCTATAAATTAGATCCAGTTTATTGAAGGTGTTCTACAGTTCTCCTAGATTTTTGCCGATTACTTGTTCTCTCACTATGAAAGATATTGTGTGTGTTATATGTGTCTAACAATTCATTGTCTAGTTAGAGTTGCTATTATACCACTTCAAGTGGATGGAGAGCCTCACTGCCATCCATTAATGTGCATTAATCATTTTGAGAGTGAAAAGATTTTTTAAAATGTTTTTACTTTTTTAGGTATGGCCAAGTGAGATGGGGCTAGTGAAATGGGTGGGAGAATTGGAAGCTGATAGTGTGTGAGCTAGACACCCATGAATGCTTTTCCACTGGGCAGTTAGAGGGATGATAGGTAATAATATAAGGCAGCTCCATCACACAAGCTGGTGACTCCTGTGCGACAGACCAAGAACTGCATTTGGAGATTCATTTCCGATTGTTGCGTTTCCTCTTAGAGCATTGCTTGGTCATCGTGTTCTGAGTGGTCCATTGGCCTCCATGTCCCTTTTGGGGTGGATATTTGCTCAGTGACTTTTGAGCAGCTGGATCTCCTGCTTCGGCAGGTGAGTGAGGGGATGGATGGCTCCACGGACTGGCCCCCGCCCCAGGAGAAAGAGTGCGTGGCCGTGGCAACGCTGAATCTTCCCCGACTTCAGGTATTCGTGATTTCCCTTCCTCTTGCTCCTTTTATAAGTGTCTTAGCGATTTGTAAGAAGGTTTATGTATTTTGAAGGACATAGGTTTTAGCCTGCTGGGGGAAGTATTTTAAAGTAAGATTGTAATGCACTAATAATGGACGCAAGGCTTAAAAAACTTGATCTGTTTATTTTATGTTTGTCCTGGAAGTCAGCCTCGGCATGCAGGAAGAGTGTATATGGATTGTGTTATTTTTGCTATAATCATTAGTTTGTTGGTATTCTTACTGTTTTACTGTTGTTGCGTGTGGAGAAATGACTGGGTGAGATCACAGGTGATGGAGAGAGACAGCGCTCAGCTGAGAGACCAGTGCTGGCCTGTCTCTCCTCTGTCCTGTGAAAACCCTGCTCCAGGAGGGTCCAGTCTTTTGGTTTCCCTGGGCCACACTGGAAGAAGAATTGTCTTGGGCTACACATAAAATACACTTATGATAGCTGATGAGCTTAAAAAAAGAATCCCAAAAATATCTCATGATGTTTTAAGAAATTTTACTTTGGGCCACATTCAAAGCTGCCCTGGGCCACATGCTGCCCTCGGGCCGTGGGTTGAACAAGCTTGATCTACTCAGTAAGCTTGGCTCCCAAAGCAATACCTTCCTTTCCTCACCATGAAGGCTGTGGTTAGGGTCAAAATAAAAGCTACAAAAGCCTTCCTCCCTAGCAAAACTAAAGCTGAAGTGTTTGATCATCATCTTTTGTCTTTGTAATAAAACCCTCTAACTTAATGACAAGAACCACGGTTTTCTCGACATAGTAATTTTTCCCTTTTATTACAGTGGTTTCTTGTAACAACCCGTCATGTCCCTCTTCCAGCCCCTCCCCTTTTTGCCCTGCTTCTAGAATGTACAGAACTGAGTGTAGTGTTTAGTTGCAGTAATGAACTGAGCAGAGGTCTGGAGCATGCTTCTCCTCTAGTCCTCTGTAGCACTCATTTATCACCATATCTGTGGCATCCTGGCGTTTGCGTGGTTGCGCCCCAGGTGTTTGCTGCCCCTCCTGGTTTGCGGTGATGTGTCTGTTCTGGTCAGTGCTGTGGGGCGTGGCCTTGTGTATGTCTTAGGCTGTCGAGGTGTCCCAGCGTATGGTTTTGCATTTGCCTCTCCAGGGTCCTGAGGGTTCTGTAGGTTTCACAGACTCCAGGTGAGTTTCGGTGGTCATTTCCTGACCTGTGATATCTATACCTAGATGAGTGGTGTGCTTTTGATTTCACTTCTACTCACAGGGCAAGGCCGGGTCTCTGATTTCTCATGGGGCCTCTTGCTACCCAAAGCCTGGGACGGGCAGTGTGTTGCCCCCTGGCTGCGGTTGGCTGGCAGGCAGGTGATCCTGAGTGGCTCCCAGCCTTCTGCAGGAAGCTCGAGTTCAGTGGGTCCTTGTGTGCATTCCCGTGTGGGAGGTTGTGCTGAAGCCTGGCGGCTTGGCTCTGCTTTCAGAGCCCGGAACCTCTTGACTCCTGCTGTGTGTGCCCACGTGAATTTTGGTTTTGCACTTGAGGAGTTTCCCTGTGTACTCTCAGCTCCACAGTCTAATTTTTAGCAGCTCTTTTTTTTTTTTAGACAGGGTGTCACTTTGTCACCCAGGCTGGAATGCAGTGGTACGGTCTTGGCCTGCCAGGTTCAAGTGATTCTCCTGCCTCAGCCTCCCAAGTAGCTGGGACTACAGGTGTGTACCATCACACCCGGCTGATTTTTTTATAGAGATGGGGTTTCATCATGTTGGCCAGGCTGATCTTGAACTCCTGATCTCAAGTGAGCTTTCCCGTCGGCCTCCCAAAGTGCTGGGATTACAGGCATGAGCCACCGCCTATGGCAGCTTTTGTGGTTACATTGTAGCCATTATTTCTGTGTTTGGTGCAGATTGTTGGGGCGGGGTGGAGGTTGCTGTTGCTAGTTGTTTAGCTCTTCTGCTCATCTTGAGCTTTTCCATATATGTGTTCATAGTGGGGTTAAAAAAAATTCCTCTAGAAAATACTTCAACTATTGTGGGTAAGAGTTTTTTTAGTCCAGTTTTTAAAAATACGTAAACTGAGAAGTTATTTTGTCTATTTAGATGATACTTCAAATTGACTTTTATTCAGTGTTTAATAAGACTTTGAAATTCACTCATTTTTAGGGGTTCTAAGTGAAAATTGTTTTTCTCCTTTCAGTTGCATGCTGCCATTAGTCACCAGGTTGACCTGGAATTCCTTGGTTTAGGTCTGGGCAGCGTCTTCCTGAACAGCCTGAAGCAGAAGGTGGTGACCCTGGCAAGCAGCGCAGACGTGCTGAGCACCGTGCAGTCGGCCTCCCAGGCCATGCTGCAGAGCGGCTGGTCCATGCTGTTGCCCACCGCTGAGAAGCAGGCCCGGGCACTCTGCTCTCCTGTCCTGCGGAGGTGGGCTCGGGGAAGGAACAGGAGAGGGCATGGGTCAGGGTGCTGGGAGGGGATGGCGTTTCACTCAAATTGGCACACACTTTCTATTTCAGTTTCAGGCAATGAAGTGAGCATAAGTCCAGGTCATCGATTGGTGATTGATCTTCTGGTGGGCAGCTTGATGGCTGATGGAGGGTTGGAGTCAGCCTTACACGCAGCCATTACTGCAGAGATCCAGGTATGGCCTTGGAGGCACACGTGACCTGGTGGTGGGCTGAGATCGGAAATACCACACTCACACATGTGAAGAATAACTGAAAACAGTAAAACACTAAACTTATATCCAAGTATTTTTTTAAATTAAAATTCTTTTATGTGCTAATTTTAAAAATTATTGAGATGATTTGTGATAAAATACTGCATGTTGTCTGTTTCAGTGAAGTTAACAGGTAACCTGTTCCTCATGTAGACCATTCCCGTCACCCGGAAAGATCCCTGTGCTCCTTGGCACTTGCAGCCAGGATACTCCCCTGCCCTGAGATTAGATTCATTTTTCCTGCTCTGAGTGTCGCAGCAATATAACTGTATAGTATGCACTCTTTCCTGCTTTGCCTTGGAGAATGATTTTCAGATTCACTCACTGTTGTGTGTATTGCGACTTCGTTTTTATTATTGGGAAGTTTTCCATTTTATAGGTGTAGTACTGTTTGTTAGTTCATTCTCCTATTGAAGGACATGTAATTGTTTTTGGTTTTTGTTTTCTTTTTTTTTTTTTTTTTTTTGAGACAGGGTCTTGCTCTGTCACCCAGGCTGTATACAGTGACCTGATGTTGGCTCACTGCAGCCTTGTACTCCTAGGTTCAAATGATCCTCCCACCTCAGCCTCCTGTGTTGCAGGGACCACATACATGTCACCATGCCCGGCTAGTTTTTTGATTTTTTTGTAGAGACAAGGTTTCACTGTGTTGCAAGGCTGGTCTTCAACTCCTGGGCTCCAGTGATCCCCCCACCTTGGCCTCCCAAAGTGTTGGGATTACAAGCGTGAGCCACCGCGCCCAGGCTTTCTGGTTTTTGGCCGTGTAGAGCTGCCACAATTGTGCTGTGAACAAGTACTTTAGTGAACATATGTTCTCCCTTTGGATAAACACTTGGAGTGGAATTTGTTAGGTCCTGGGGTTAGTGTGTGTTCATAGTTTCCCAAAGTGGCTTTGCCATTTGCATTTGAACCAGGACTTTTGTGTGTGAGAATTCTAGCTCCTTCTTGTCCTTACAGAGCAGCTGGATGCTGTGTGTGTGGAGCCGATCACATTGGGTTTTGTGTGAGCCATTAGCAGGGTTAAGGATTTTAGGGACTTCACAGAAGGAGGCTGGAGAGCATCAGCAGAGGCAGCCTAGACCTTGGATCTGTAAAAAGAAGACACTGTTTGAAACTGCACAGATGAGTTGGGGTTTCCAACAGGGCAGGTGGGGGCCTGTGGGTGGATGGGTGTGGCAGCCACAGAGGCTGGGATAGCTTGGCACTGGGGTCAGGGCTCAGCCAGCCTGTGTGCCTTCACACCTGGTAATGAGATCACTTGTAAACAATTTCTGTTTGTCAATTACAGGATACAAAAAAAGAAGCACGGAAGGAAAAAGAAATTTATGAACAGGAAGCAAATGCCTCAACATTTCATAGAAGGAGGACTCCATTGGATAAAGACCTTATTAATACGGGGATCTGTGAGTCTTCTGGCAAACAGTGTTTGCCTCTGGTTCAGCTCATACAACAGCTTCTTAGGTAAATCATATTAGCTGTATTGTATTGTGTTTTATTTATTTACTTTTTTGTTTTTTGAGACAGAGTTTCGCTCTTGTTGCCCAGGCCCGAGTGCAGTGGTGCGATCTTGACTCACTGCAACCTCCGCCTCCCAGGTTCAAGTAATTCCTCTGCCTCAGCCTCTCGAGCAGCTGGGATTACAGGCATGCGCCACCATGCCCCACTAATTTTGTAATTTTATTAGAGACAGGGTTTCTTCATGTTGGTCAGGCCGGTCTTGAACTCCCAACCTCAGGTGGTCCATCCACTTTGGCCTATCAAAATGTTGGGATTACAGGCATTAGCCACCACGCCTGGCCTATTTATTTACTTATTAATGGTGTTTTTTTTTTTTTTTTTTTTTTGAGATGGAGTCTTGCTCTATCGTCCAGGCTGGAGTGCAGTGTCACGATCTTGGCTCACTGCAACCCCCGCCTCCTGGGTTCAAGCTATTCTCCTGCCTCAGCCTCCCGAGTAGCTGGGACTACAGGCGTCTGCAACCACACCTGGCTGATTTTTGTATTTTTAGTAGAGATGGGGTTTTACCATATTGGTCAGGCTGGTCTCAAATTCCTGACGTCAGGTGACCCACCTGCCTTGGCCTCTCAAAATGTTGGGATTACAGGTGTTAGCCACTGTGCCTGGCCTGTATTGTATTTTAATAGGTGATTATTGGTTTTCATATTAAGATAGTGAAATCTAGCGCAAGGATCTCAAAAATTTGTTTGATGATTGAAGGAATATTCTGAAAATTACCTAGTATAGATGTTAGGATAAAGAGCAGACCCTTTTCAATATAGGTGAGAGGAGAAGTTGGAGGGTGTGATGATACTCAAAAGTTTTTCACTGAAGAGAAATTGGGGCGTGCAGTAAACATGTAAAAAGATTCTTACTAATAAGCAGGTGGATGCAAATGAAAATCATCATGGAAGGTTATTTTTAAAACTGATTGTATCATTGCCTCACTTTATATATTACAGAGTTATACATACTACTTTGTAAGATAACTTTTCTTTTCAAAACTGAAGTCAATGTGATAGAATGGTGAGCATTATTTTGGAAGGCCAGACTAGGAGGAGGTGGGAGGAAGAAGTCAGACTCAGCCTGTGAACAGACGCTAACCTTGGCAGAAGCCAAAACAGTCAGACAGTGTTGTGTAAAAATGATCATTCAAGAAGAGCGAAACAGCAAGGTGATTTGTGAAAGAGATTTATTAGAAAATGAAACACATTTATACCTCTGTTCAATAAAAATCTGCTTTTCGTCAACTGATGCTCCTGGTTTTTGTTTCTACACATAGAGAAAGCAGAGCCCTGGCAGCTGGGGTCAGGCAGCCGAGTACAGACCAGGGAGCCCTGGGCAGTGGCTGCAGCTCTCAGCTGGCCTGTTCATGGGGCCATGGTGGGTCTGTGGCGTGGGGTGGGCCTGTGGCGTGGGGTGGGCCTGCGGCGTGGGGTGGGCCCGCGGCATGGGGTGGGCCTGCTGTCCACAGCCAGAAAAACTAACTTAGTGCACACACAGTGAAATTTTGAAACAGGAAGTTTTAGAGCTAGTTTCTGTCATAGATTTTAGTAAATGCTACTTTGCAAAACCTTTTTCTGATGTTTGTTTTGTTTTTCTAATCTGATAATGCATATTTCACACATTCTGGTCTTTAACAAATGGAAATAAAGAGAACTAAACAATATAGTTTGTGTCGATGGAAAGAGCTTGGGATTTGTTCTCAGAAAATTTCAGTTACAACAGTTTGTTCATATAGGTGGACTTCCAACACAGTAACTATAGGAGTAAGAATAAAAGCTGTGTTTACTTTCACAGAGTTAATTAAGAATACATGAGAAAATGGATGTTAAAAACCTTGTAATTAAAATGTACAGTTACATGCAAAGTTTTAAAGTGAGCATTTTCCAGAGGTGCTTTTCTAAGTTCTTGAATGCCTCTCCCTTTTCTGAAGTGGCTGCTTCGTGGGGCTGTTGGTCTTTGGCAGGGGGTGAGTGCAGGGTTCCTGTTGTGGGTCCTTTGTTCTCACGAGGGCAGTGCCCGTTTTCCCCGTCTCCTGCTTGCCCAGACTGTTCCCGTGCGCAGAGAGACTGGCCTGTTTGACCTGCAGCTGTGCTGTTTGAGCTGCAGCTGTGTAGCCTGCGCTGGCCCATCTGGCTACACTCAACACCGTTTGCTGATCAGCACTTGAAGTCTGTCCGTCATAGCTGAGACACTGAATATTTTATCTGTTTAATTTTTATTCATTAAAATGCAGGTTTGAAAATTTGATTCTGTTATTAGAAAGCACTTAAGTATGTTTAGAATCACTTGGCCTTGGGAGTCTACTTTGTCAACTGTGTATTTTATGAGTCTAAATGGAGATCAGATGTTTTCAATGCAAATTTCACGGTCCAAATTGAAATGTGTTACATATGTAAGCTACTCAGATGGTTTTTGAGGACTTAATATGAAATAACCTATGTAAAATATCTCAATAATTTTTCTTAGATTGATTTCATGTTGAAATGGTCATATTTTTGATCTGTTGGAATAACTATGATACATTATTAAAATTATTTTTATTTTTTAAGATGGAATCTTACTCTGTTGACCAGACCGGAGTGCAGTGGTGCAATCTTGGCTCACTGCAACCTCCGCCTCTTGTGTTCAAGTGATTCTCCTGCCTCAGCCTCCTGAGCAGCTGGGACTACAGGACTACAGACTCCCGAGCAGCTGGGACTACCACCACGCCTGGCTGATTTTTGTATTTTTGTAGAGACAGAGTTTCACCATGTTGGCCAGGCTGGTCTCGAACTCCTGACCTCAAGTAATCTGCCCGCTTTGGCTTCCCAGAGTGCTGGGATTACAGGCATGAGCCACTGCAACCAGCCATTATTACAATTAATTTTATGTGTTGTTGTTTTTCTTGTTGGTGTGTTTTTTTTTTTTTTTTTTACTTTTGTTAATGTGACTAAGAACAATTTTTTTTCCCCACCCGGAGATGGATCCTCACTCTGTTGCCTGGACTGGAGTGCAGTAGCACGATCTCAGCTCACTGCAGCCTCTGCCTCCTGGGTTCAAATGATTCTCCTGCCTCAACCTCCTGAGTGGCTGGGACTAACAGAAGCATGCCACCATACCTGGCTAATTTTTGTATTTTTAGTAGAGATGGGGTTTCACCATGTTGGCCAGGATGGTCTTGAACTCCCAACCTCAGGTAATCTGCCCACCTCAGCCTCCCAAAGTGTTGGGATTACAGGCGTGAGCCACCGCACCTGGCCATGTTTATTAATACGACTAAGAACATTTTGAATTGCACCTGTGGCTCCATTGGTGTCCTGGGCAGGTGGCTCTGTGCTGTCTACACAGGTTGTCTCCTGTGTCTTCGTCTTCGCTGCGTGTGACTTTTTGGTTCCTGTGGCACGTGGGGTCCTGTATGGGACATTGGTTCTACAGCAGATTTATAGTAAGGATGTACCTACTAAAAAATACAAAATAAAAAGAATAGACACAAACATAGAAATAAGTATCACCTCACAAAACTTTTGGAAAGTAGAAAAAGAAAAATGCATTCGCAGCTTTCCAGTAGCCGATATCCAGGCTGTCTTCATAAGCATGGATCATGTTTCCCTCTCCTGCATGGGTAGACACTGTTTTCTCACCTTAAGTGTTTGTGAGTGAAGGATTCTTGATGTGTTGACTTGGCAGATGCAGTTGTTGAACAGTAGTTTATCTAAAGATCGTAAGAGACTTTTGGAGACATTTCATGTCCTTTTTTCCCTTGGAAAACGTGGGTTGGAGAAATCGCTGCTTGCCAAAAATAAGCCGTGAAACGTATTTCAGAGTAGATCGTTATTTACATGCTGGCGAGGAGCCACAGAATACCATTTACATTTGAAAATAGAGTGCTGCGAAGTTTTTATAAGTAGTGAATCCCATCAGAATTACACATTTTGATTATGGCTCTAAATTTTATATTAAATAAACTAAAAATTTCATTGTATTGTATTACCGTCTCTTGCTCCTTCAGGTGTAGCATACATGTTAGATTCTAGACCTGTTTCTTGTGTTACAGTGGTGTTATCCAGGCAGGGTATCATGTAGTGAAGGTGATGTCTAGTGGTGGTGGTGAGCCCAGTGAAGGCGCATCCTTGCCGTGTGTGATGAGGGCCTGTGGGTTGCTATGGGATTCCCCAACCCTGGCTCCTCTGTCTCCTGCTTCTGTCCTTACTCACACTGCTGGTAGTTTTCTGGTGTGAGCCACGGGGGCAAGTGGGATTGACAAGCCTGCTGTCACATTAGGAACCTGAGTTAAAGTGGAGCTGAAAGCATGTCCTCACTCTTGATGTTGTGCAGAGAGCCACCTGTGCTCCTGGCTCAACGGGGCGTGTGTGGTGGGTCTGGAACCAGGCCCTGGTTTGGCTCTCCTCCCCTCCATGTTCCCCTGTCCTGTCTGATTTGCTTCACACTGACATAAGAGTTACTTTCCCTCGGCCTCCCAAAGTGCTGGTATTACAGGCATTAGCCACCGCGCCCAGCTAGCATCCTTTCAAGTACTGGGGTACACCCAAGCTCCCAGCTTCTAGCTAGGAGTCATTTTGTCCCTCTTTATCCCAAAGGACTTGCCACCATCTTTGGTTCCCAAAGCCCAGGAGGGTCCAGGCTCTTCAGCCTCCAACCACTTTGCATTTCTTGTCTGCTTTTCGTTCATGGAGATAATTAACTTATTTTTCAGCCTGGGCATGTCTTTTTTATTTACTTTATTTTTTATTTTTATTTTTTGAGATGGAGTCTCACTCTGTCGCCCAGGCTGGAATGCAGTGGCGGGATCTCATTTCACTGCAGCCTCTGCCTCCCGGGTTCAAGTGATTCTCCTGCCTCAGCCTCCTGAGTAGCTGGGACTACAGGTGTGCACCACTATGCCCAGCTAATTTTTACATTTTTAGTAGAGACAGGGTGTCGCCATATTGGCCAGGCTGGTCTCGAACTCCTGGCTTCAAGTGATCCTCCTGCCTCAGCCTCCCAGAGTGCTGGGATTACAGGCACGACCACCGCACCCAGCCTTTATTTACTTTGTATATCTCATCTATTACTGCTGCAGTTTGCAGAAGAGAGGATGCCCTCAAACCTAACTTCTCCAAACCATCCCAAATGGGAAGTCTGCTCCACGTCAACAGCATTGTTGCTTTTAAAGACTATACGTCAACATGGCAGATTATAGCAAAAGGATGTCGAGGGAGCAATAGGAAAGCAAGCCTGAGAGTCCTGGAGAGAAGGTGGCAGAGCTGCCTTTTGAAGGTGGTTCCTTCCTCAGACCCTGCCCTTCCTGCCTTGTTCCTCCAGTTGCCAGATTTGCTGTTGGAGCTCCTCCACGGGCGAAGAGGTGAGGCTGGACTGAGAGGGAGATGGAGAAGCTGCCAGAGATTCTTTTGGATCTAGAATTGAGACAGCAGTTCCAGCCAGGTCCAGAGGTGGGGGCTGTCACCCAGCCCCCAGGGGAATGGTACTGATTGCAGAATGTGGCGAGAACTCCCTGGCTGGGAGAGGGAGGTGCTTGCTCCCTTGAATCACCTGAGCCCAGGCTGGAAGGCCCAAGGGGGAGGACGAGGCCAGCTCACTCCAGCTCCATCCCCTCCCTTTAACCCTAAGCTAGTTAACCCTCCCAGACTCCAGTCCTTTTTCCTAAGTGCCCTCCCTGCAAAGTCTGCACCGAGCAGCGCTCCCTCGCACCAGCTCACCCTGCACTGTCTTGTCTTTCAGCAACCCCATGGGTTTGAACTTGAGACGATTCATGTTCCTAAAAGCCTCTTTGGGCTGAGGGAAGGCATGGGTGGCTCTGCCAGTTTTGGAGTGGGGGCCGACTCTTCTCAGAGCCGCTGCAAGGGCCAGGGCCACCCTCCCAGGCGGGTGTCTCCGGGCTGGGCAGCAGCTTTGTAGGCAGCCTGGGTCATCCCCACTGGTCTGGGAAGCTGGGGGTGCACCGGCTCCTGCTCCTGATAGGGCCAAGGCACCTTCCTTACCTAAGAGCTGACTTTCTTGAAGAGTGGGCACAGAGGAGCCGGCAACCTGGGCTGTGTAGGCACCCAGGAGAAAATCTGCAGCTCAGTATCAGAAGTCTCCACCAGCACGGCTGTTGCAGAGATGGGGAAACTGGGCTGAGAGGGAAGGGGGCTTGCCCAAATCACCAGCCCTGGAATGTTTGGAGCTTTGGGGGTGGATCTCCCAGGAAACGTGTTTTTATGGCACCACCGCCTCTGGTCACCCACCCCGAGGTGTGGCGGGCCTGGACAGCCAGCTTGACTGAGGGCCAGGCTGGTGAAGTCAAAACTACCACTCAGGAAGAAGACCTAGCCCTTCTCCAGACAGAGTTCAAATGTGAGGACTGCCTTCTTTGGGCCTCAAATTCCCCACGTGAATTCCAAGGACCCCTCTAGCTCCTACACTCTGGGCCAAGGTTTCCTCTGAGCCGCAGTCAGCCTAGAGGACCTAGGATACATCTTCCTTGGACAGAGACCCACCATAGGGGCAGCAGGAGGTAGGGGTGGGGGTAGGCAAGATTCCTGTGGGGAGGTGGAGCTGTCATCAGAGATGGTGTCTGCAGGCAGTGGGTGTATCGTGGCTCTGCTACTACTTGCTGGGTGGCCCCATGACGTTTCTTTCCCCACTCTGACCTCAGTTTCCCTATCTGTTCTGTGGAGATAAGATGCCTGCCTACATATTTGTGGACTGGGATGTGTGTGGGCCAGTTGCAGTGTTTCTTGGTGTGGTCCTGGGGCAGGCTGCACCACCCCATAGAGATTTCTGGGCCCCACCCTAGGCTCACAGGACCAGAATCTCTGGGAATGAAGCCTGGGAATTTGCATTTCCACAGGCATCTGGCTGATTCTGACATGACTGAAAAGCACTAATAGTATATAGCAAGTTCTTTATAAAAGGTAAATTCATAGCTGCCTTTTACTAAACATAAATCTCACCTTCCCTTCCTCAGTTAAGGACACACACCGCAGTTGAAAATCACTGTGCCTTTCCAGATGCAGAATCTGACCTTTCCGATAAGATTCTGTTAACTGCTGCTTTCTGCAGTTTGTATTCCAAAACAAGGGGAATATGTTTCCATTTTTTCAATACAAATGTTTAAGTCGGATATGCTTTCTCAAACTGGACACGCACTCACACAGCTTAGGGTTTCAGCTATGGCTTCCTCTCAAATTATTAGCCTCTTTCTGCCAGGGAGCAGTTTTTCCCAGACAAGACCCTGGACAGAGGTTGGTGGGGCCCTCCTCATCAGAATCACTAGATTATGACTGACCCCTAGAGGTGGCTTTTCTGCTTAAGTGTCAGCCCATGGGCTGGGTTGTGACCCCCAAAGCTGCGGCAGAAGCTTCCACCCATCCTGGGCCCCCCCTGCCATCTATGGGGAAAGGCCTGTCCCTTGTCTTCTGGGCCCAGCCGGCCTCACAGGCATTCAGCAGATTGGAAAGTCGAAGCATGTGCTGTGCTTGGCTGGGCTCTCCTGCGCCCCTTTTTGGGGTGAGGTGGAGTGCATCCAGCCCCCAGCATCCCTGCCGTTTATTCCCACCCCTCATCCCCACCCCCATACACACTCACAAGTACAAACACAAGCACAGTCACTGGCACACACCACTCTGGACAGCACCATTTCCAGCCTCAGCGGGGCAGTTTCCTTACAGGGAAGTTAATGAGGCACTAACGAAGGCTCAGGGGACAGGGGGAACCTCTATCGAGAAGAGGCTCCTAGACCTGGTTCTGCCTCTGAATTGCTGGGGGTCCTTGAGAAAGTTGCTATCCCTCTCTGGTCTCAGTTTCCTCAGGTGAGAAATGGGGGGCCGGCCAAATGGTCTAAGGTTCTGGGAACCTCTAAATCAGAGCCCGTAGCTGGTGGTCAAGATGAGGGAGAGGCCCTCAGGGTCAGCCGAATGCCTGAGAGGCCGGACAGGCCCAAAGGTGAGCAACGTGAGCACATCAGGTGGGCTCAGAGCTGGCGCATGAGCCCCACAGCCTGCAGAGCAGCCCTGTACTCGGGAGCCCGCTCGCACCAACCCAGTGGGACTTCAGAGATGTGGGGTCCAGCCTTTCCTACTATTGCTGGGCTGAGGGCTGGGAGCTGCAGATTCTGACCCCACAGCTGCCTTAGACATGCCAGATGGTCTGGGGCAAGACACACCCCTCTCTATGAAATGAGCAGCCAGTCCAAATAGGTACGTTAGAGAAGGGCTGTGGGATGGACCCAGCTGTAGCCTGGGGCTACAGACTGGCTTCCGGGGTACTCAAGCAGCTGGCCTCTGGGGTAGCAGCCCCAGGTATGAGAGGCAGGACTCAGAATCTAGGCCAAGCCTCCATAGGAATCCCCTCTGGAGAGCCCGGGCACTCTGCAGGAGGGGCAGCAGGCAGCAGGTGCACCAGGAGCATGTTTCACAAGGTGCCCAATATCGCATCTGCTCAGATAGGCAGCGAGTTGGAAAGTGGATGCAATAGGCAGGGTGGCGGCTGCTCCCCACAGCCAGGAGTCCGGCCCAGCACCCACCTGAGTCCGCCTCAGTCCTGCTCAATTGGGTTATCCGTGCTCTTGGCCCTCTGGTCCCACCCACAGAGGGAGGTCTTTGGGGCGACCAGGTGAGCTGGCCCTTGTGGGAGGATGTAACTGACTCCTGAGCCTGGCGAGCCAGGCAGCCCCTCGCCAACGTCCCCACCCCTACCTCTCCAGCCCCCCCGCATTCCCTGATCCTCCCATCCGCTCCCCTGACCCAGCAGTTGCCTCTGCTCACTCTCTTTTCCTGCTCCCAGGCTCGCCTGGTCATGTGTCCTTCACTCTCCTCTGAGTCTCCCTCTTTCCAAGCCGCCTCCACTCTACTTGACACACTCTCCCTTAAGACACCAGAGTACACAAGCGCAAGTCTCTGCACCTCACCTTTACTCCCAGACATGGGAGGGAGATGACATGAAGACCCAAACGCCACTTAGCAGGAGATCTGGGGTATGCAGAGGGGCAGAACGGAGGCTGTGGAAGCTCCAGGGGCTCCCTGCAGGAGGCCACATGTAAGCTGGCTATTGAATGTGGCTCTGAGCTGAGACCTCTCCTTGAAGCTCCAGACCAGGAGCCAGCTGCTAGCTGGACCCCTCCATTTGGTGCCTCAGAGAAACTTTGCACTCTCTAGGTCTAACTTTGAACCCAGAAAATTCCCCCATGTCGGCCCTGTCTCTTCATAGGGAAAGCACCACCTCAGACCCAGTTCTGCACCAAACCCACATTTGAGTCACGAGGCTCCTGCCCTGCACTGTGAGCACTCTGGATAAGCCAGTGCTGAGGGGGAAAGAGCTCTGAATGCCAAGCCAAAACATGAGCTTCAACTCCACCTCCAGCTCTGAGAGCTGTGGGTAGGGAAGGGCCCTCGTCCAGTTTGCTGTAGAAAGATCAGTCTGCCACTGTATGGCACATGGATGGCAGGGGCAGAGTGCAGGTGGAGAGAACAGAAGGTGGGCAGGGCGGGGGAGGCAGGGACATGGCTGTAGCCGTGGAGATGGGAGGACAGACAGGACTTGGTGGCCACTTGGGTGAACCAAGGGAGGAGTCAGGAAGAGACACCCAGTTTTGTATCAGATGTGTAGAGCGTGGGATGCTGTTCATTGACGGAGGGAGGAGGAGGAGGAAGAGGTATGGCATGGGGAGGAGGTAGCTGAGCTCTGTCGTGAATGTCATTTGAAGTCCCCAGGGAAAGCCAGGCCGGCCAGCACCTTCACTGCTTCAGCCAGCTCTCAGGGTGTCTGTGCTCCCTGGCCCTCTCAGCTCCTGCTTCATAGCTGTCATCTGCAGTGGGAGACAGCTGCACAAGGGCCCAGCATGTCTGTGTGTTTACCCAGGGGACTGCCGCATGGCCCATGCCGAGCAGAAACTGATGGACGACCTTCTGAACAAAACCTGTTACAACAACCTGATCCGCCCAGCCACCAGCTCCTCACAGCTCATCTCCATCCAGACGGCGCTCTCCCTGGCCCAGTGCATCAGCGTGGTAGGTGCAGAGGGTACCTGTGGCTCAGGCTCAGGTGAAGAGGCAGCTCATGCCCAAGCCCTAAGCAGTCAATGTCCAGAGGAATGAAATGACTAGAGTTGACTTAGACTCACCGGTACACGGTGGGGAGGCTGGAGGAGGGTCCATGAGGTTTATAGGTGTCCAGTATTTAATGAGGCCATGGTTTTGTTAACAAAGAAGAAATGAGGGTGGGAGCGAGATCACCACTGGCTAGGAGACTCAGCTGAGTCTCCAGCACGACCATGAGCTTCTCATCCTGATCCTCCCAGCCCCACCCTACTTTTCTCCCCCAGCTTGCTCAACAGGTGACCTTACAGGCTCCCTACTCTTTGCAGGGAATAAGAACCAGACTGGGGGAACTGACGGGTACAGAGGCCCAGGTGTAGGCGCAGGACCACAGGCAGTGAAGCGTCTACTGACCCAGGCGGGTGAGGGTCTGGAGAGTGGGCATGGCTGCTGCAGGCATGGAAAGCAGGCACAGATGGCGGCACTCCCAGGGCCCATTGTCAGGGTCTCCACATGTGGACGTGTGCAGAGGTGGGGGTGCTGAGGGAGGAGGGGCAGGGAATTTCTCATCTTCTCTCTACTGCCTCTGAGTTGGAGATGTCAGAGGGAGCCATGGCCCACTGTAAAGTAACACAATGTCCCCACCCACAGGATTAGAACCCCTCCCCTGGAAGCAGCTCTGAGGGGAACAGTCACATGTAGAGAGTGCAGGGCACTGTGTCCAGCCGGGGGAAGGAGGTCACCAAGGGGGTTGACCCCCCTCTGGCCAGGTGGCTGCCTTCTGACACACCAGCCTCTGTCTCTAGCACGGTGGCCCCCACACACCCAGCCTGTGAAACCTACAGCCCTCAAGAAGACTTTGGCCAAATTAATGAGCGGCTCCCTCTCCCAGGAGGAAGCACAGGTGAAGGATGTGGAGGGCAGTAGAGTTGTGTGTGCTCCGCCCCCTTTCTCCGCAGTCGGATGGAAAGAAGGGGGCTTTCAGCCAGGCTCGCCCAGGCTGGGGTCTGAGTGTCACTGTCCAGCTATTGGCTTCTTGCTTAATGGGTGAGCCCAGCTGCTCCCGTGCAGCTGCCGCCCTAGTGAGGGTGAACCGGCAGGCGAGTTACATTTCTGAAAGCCTGGGAATACAGTAAATATTAGGCTGTGGGCTGCTGGGCCAGGAAGAGTTGTTTATTTTTCAGGGTTTGTTTATCTATTGACTTGATGAGGGAGGGTTATAGGTACAACCAGTTTAAAGATGGAAATTTTGAGAGAGCAGGCAGGGATTTAGTGCTGGGTAAGCCTGGTCAAAGTGGCTCTTTTGGGGCGGCCAGAATCCAGTACCAATGTCCTCAGCATGTTCATCAGCTGGCTGGGGGAGTGCGGGACAGCATGAAAGCACAGGAGAACTTTCTGGATGATAGAAATACTCTGTATCTTCAAAGGAGGTGGGTTCCATAGTAATGTTAAATGAGTTAAAACTCATCAAAATGTAAACCAGACCTGTGCATTTCACTAATAGAAATTATACCTCCAATTAAAAACATGTTTTAAAAGACAGATGGGCCGGATGCAGTGGCTCATACTTGTAATCCCAGCACTTTGGGAGGCTGAGGCAGGTAGATCACCTGAGTCAGGAGCTCGAGACCAGCCTGGAAAACATGGTGAAATCCTGCCTCTATTAAAGGTATAAAAAAAAATTAGCCAGGCATGGTGGCACACGCTACTCGGGAAGCTGAGGCAGGAGAATTGCTTGAACCCAGGAGGCAGAGGTTACAGTGAGCAGAGATCGTGCCATTGCACTAGAGCCTGGGCAACAGCGCAAGACTCCATCTCAACAACAACAAAAAAAGGACAGATGAAGGTTTTCAACTTTCAATAAAGGCAGAGGAGCTTGTTACAGATTCGCCTCCCCACAAGAGCAGTTAGAAAAACTGGATAAAAATGTGCCCCGCCCCCAATCAAAAACAATTGTTGGAAGGTAATTGGAGACCTCAGTCAGGACTTGAGTGACCAGGCCTAGGAGGTGATCCTGACAGTCTGTAGTGCTTTCCCACATTTGGTGATTGGTCAACAGTAGAGGGCTAAGAGGCTAAGAAACTGAGTATGAAGTGGTAGTTAAGAGGCTGGAGAGCCTAGCTGAATGTTTGGCACTCTCACAGGGCTGAAATGACCTAATGAGAATTTGGGTCCCAGGAAGGAGATGGGACCTTGGTGGGGACCCTGGAAGGGCCACCCCTGGGAGTCCAGATGAATAAAACATAGACCAGCCATCAGAAAACCTAAAACCTGCTTTGAACCAGCTTAGTCCCAAAGTAGATGAAGGCGATCTGCCCTTACTCCAATTGTGTGCCATAAACTCAAAGTCAATACTCTCTGGAGGCAGATAAAAGTTTACTATGAATGTCAAAAGACAACACAAGACTAAATGAGAAAGACCAAGAAGAAAACTAATAGAAACATACATGTAAGGAAGAAACTTTTTTTTTTGAGACGGAGTTTCGCTCTGTCACCCAGGCTTGAGTGCAGTGGCACGATCTCAGCTCACTGCAACCTCTGCCTCCCAGGTTCAAGCGATTCTCCTGCCTCAGCCTCCCAAGTAGCTGGGATTACAGGCATGCGCCACCATGCCCGGCTAATTTTTGTATTGGCCAGGCTGGTCTTGAACTCTTGACCTCAGGTCATCCATTTACCTCGGCCTCCCAAATTGCTAGGATTACAGGCGTGAGCTACCATGCCTGGCCAGTATTTTGCCACAATTTAAAATAAATAAAATTTTTTTTTCAGGTTTGTGCTCAGACTATATTCTAAACAGTCACATGGCGGCTTACTCTTCTCCAGGCCTTGCTGCCGGCTTTTACATGTTTATTGTCTTTGCCTTCTTGTCATGTGCTCATTAGATGGCAGCTTCCAGGTGCTCCTAAGGGGCCAGGAAAGAGAGTGAGAAGGCACGGAGGTTGCCAGATCATCCCCCTTGGGGCCCCGCCCTCATCAACTCCCTCAACCGGGTCTCCTGCAACTATTGGTGGGCCATCTCGGCCACCGCTTCGCCCTGAGCTTCCTGCTGCTGCAGCTGGGCAGTGCCTCCTTCTCAGAGGCCAGCTGCTGATAGGCGGCCACGTACTGCTGCAGGTGACCCAGGTAATGGTCTCGCTGCTGCTGCAGACTCAGCCTCTTGGCTCTTCAGCTCCACCTGCAGGATAGGCGTCAGGGTAGGTAGTGGCTGGCTTCCAGATTCTGGGCCCATAAACAGGGTAGTGAGGGCACTGCGGGGCTCTGTCGCCTACCCAGGCCCCTGGCCCTGGCCCCTTCCTCCAGGCCTAAATGACTGCCTCCCTTGCCTAGAGGCCCATGCCTCCCTCCCCAGCCTCAAATCTCACACCCTTCTTCCCACCATTTAAACTGTAGGCCACAGACTGGTGGAAAAGCAGAGGGAGCCAACCACCATCTGCTAAGTTGTGGTGAGGTCGTTCTGTATGATCTCCAGGGTTTGCACACACCTCCGCCTGCTCCCCCCAAGAGCTCGGCCTTCTGCCCCAGCTTCCCCAGCCTCTCCTCCAGCTCCTGCAGCCTCACCTAGTGTTCCTGCATCTTCTCCTCCTGCTGCCGCAGCCTCACTTCCTGCTCCCACATCTTCTCCTCCTGCCTCCGCATCTTCTCCTCCTGTTCTTGCATCTTCTCTTCCTGCTCACACATCTTCTCCTCCTGCTCCCACATCTTCTCTTCCTGTTCCTGCATCATCTCCTCCTGCTCTCGTATCTTCTCCTCCTGCTCCCGTATCTTCTTCTCCTGCTCCCTTATCTTCTCCTCCTGCCTCCGCATCTTCTCCTCCTGTTCTTGCATCTTCTCTTCCTGCTCCCCCATCTTCTCTTCCTGTTCCTGCATCATCTCCTCCTGCTCTCGTATCTTCTCCTCCTGCTCCCGTATCTTCTTCTCCTGCTCCCTTATCTTCTCCTCCTGCCTCCGCATCTTCTCCTCCTGTTCTTGCATCTTCTCTTCCTGCTCCCAAATCTTCTCCTCCTGCTCCCCCATCTTCTCTTCCTGTTCCTGCATCATCTCCTCCTGCTCTCGTATCTTCTCCTCCTGCTCCCATATCTTCTCCTCCTGCTCTCGTATCTTCTCCTTCTGCTCCCGTATCTTCTCCTCCTGCTCCCTTATCTTCTCCTCCTGCCTCCGCATCTTCTCCTGTTCTTGCATCTTCTCTTCCTGCTCCCCCATCTTCTCTTCCTGTTCCTGCATCATCTCCTCCTGCTCTCGTATCTTCTCCTCCTGCTCCCGTATCTTCTCCTCCTGCTCCCGTATCTTCTCCTCCTGCTCCCTTATCTTCTCCTCCTGCTTCCACATCTTCTCCTCCTGCTCCTGCCTCTTTTCCTCCTGCTCCCGTATCTTCTCCTCCTGCCTCCACACCTTCTCCTCCTGCTCCCGTATCTTCTCCTCCTGCCTCCACATCTTATCCTCCTGCTCCTGCCTCTTCTCCTCCTCCCATATCTTCTCCTGCTCATGCATCTTCTCTTCCTCCCTCCACATCTCCTCCTGCTCCCGTATCTTCTCCTCCTGCTCCCGTATCTTCTCCTCCTGCCTCCACATCTTCTCCTCCTGCTCCCGTTTCTTCTCCTGCTCCCGTATCTTCTCCTCCTGCCTCCACACCTTCTCCTCCTGCTCCCGTATCTTCTCCTCCTGGTCGTGCATCTTCTCCTCCTGCCTCCACACCTTCTCCTCCTGCTTCCGTATCTTCTCCTCCTGCTCGTGCATCTTCTCCTTTTGCCTCCATATCTCCTCCTGCTCCCTTATCTTCTCCTCCTGCCTCCACATCTCCTCCTGCTCCTGCCTCTTCTCCTCCTCCCGTATCTTCTCCTGCTCGTGAATCTTCTCCTCCTGCCTCCACATCTTTTTCTCCTGCTCCCGTATCTTCTCTTCCTGCTCCCGTATCTTCTCCTCCTGCCTCCACATCTTCGCCTCCTGCTCCTGCCTCTTCTCCTGCTCGCGTATCTTCTCCTCCTCCTGCCTCTTCTCTTCCTGCTCCCGTATCTTCTCCTGCTCGTGCATCTTCTCTTCCAGCTCCCGTATCTTCTCCTCCTTCTCCCACATCATCTCCTCCTGCCTCCGCATCTTCTCCTCCTTCTCCCACATCATCTCCTCCTGCCTCCGCATCTTCTCCTCCTGCTCCCGTATCTTCTCCTCCTGCTCCCGTATCTTCTCCTCCTGCTCCTGTATCTTCTCCTCCCACTCCTGTATCTTCTCCTCCTGCCTCCACATCTTCTCCTCCTGTTGCTGGTTCAGGCGGTTCCACAACTCGTTCTCTTCCACCTGGGCTTGGAGCTTTGCTGACACACTCTGCAGCTCCTTACCCAGGTGGTCAGCCTCCGCCTGCAGCTGCTGCTGGAATAGTGAAAGTGTTTTTTTGAACCTCAGAAGGAAGCAGAATCATGAGCTAGCCACATAAATGTAATCTATAGGCTGGGCGCGGTGGCTCACGCCTGTAATCCCAGCACTTTGGGAGGCCGAGGTGGGCGGATCACGAGGTCAGGAGATCGAGACCATCCTGGTTAACACAGTGAAACCCCGTCTCTACTAAAAATACAAAAAATTAGCTGGGTGTGGTGGTGGGCACCTGTAGTCCCAGCTACTTGGGAGGCTGAGGCAGGAGAATGGCGTGAAGCCGGGGTTGGAGCTTGCAGTGAGCCGAGATTGCGCCACTGCACTCTGGCCTGGGTGACAGAGTGAGACTACTTCTCAAATAAATAAATAAATAAATAAATAAATAAATAAATGTAATCTATAAAATAATGGTTTTCATCCATGATCCTTTAAAAAAATATTTTTAAGCCCTAACTCTTGAGATTCTGATTCCCCAGGCAGGGCCCCAATTTGTACATTTTTAGCACACTCTAGAGGATTCTATGGCGGGACCAGAACAAGGACCCAAATTTTCCAGCTCTTGGCTGGAGCCTCCCCATACCCTGCATGATCCCTAGACCATGGTCCCAGCTGGATGGGTCTCCCACAACCCCCGGGGCTGCAGCTGCTCACCTGTGGCAGCAGGAGCTTGGCCCTCTCCAGTTTCCTTTTTAGCTCCTTTACGTTGAGCTGGATCTCAGACTTTTCAGATTCTACAAGTTGAAGTTTTTCTTGTAGTTTGGCATTTTTCTCCTTCAGCTCCTCATCAGTTATGCTATGGCCAGAGGCAGTAGAGAAAGGAATGAATGAAGAACATAAAAGACCACTTTGGTGATTGACCCCCTACCCTCGCCCCACAACCACAGAACCGTGGCGCTGGAAGGGACCCCAGGAATTAAAAGTCCCAGGTGGCAGGCCAGAGAGAAGACATGAGTTGCCTGAGGCTACCCCATGAGTCAGTGGCACAGCCAGCACTAGAGCTTCCGTGTGCACACATGAAAACATGTATGAGCCTCTCCGCACACTCACCTGGACCCCCCACCTCCCAGCACACCACCCATGCTAAGGGCCCCCAGACCTCCCATTCCACCTTCCCCCATCCTACGTGTTCCTGTACAGTTCCAGACTCAGGGCGTCCCTCTCCTTTGTTAACTCCTCAATGTACTGCAAATAGAGAAAGGTTAAGTCAGGATAGAGCAGGCACAGCAGTAGCTGGACGACCAGGAACAACTGCTACAGTGACTACTCCACAGTAACACTTCCTCACTCTCAATCACACCTGACGTGTTCTCAAGGCATTTCCAAGCCCATGGTCTCATTTGTTTTTCTTTCTTTCTTTCTTTCTTTTTTTTTTTGGCAGAGTTTCATTCTTGTTGCCCTCACTGGAGTGCAATGGCACAATCTCAGCTCACCACAACCTACACCTCCTGGGTTCAAGCAATTCTCCTGCCTCAGCTTCCCGAGTAGTTGGGATTACAGGCATGTGCCACCACACCGGGCTAATTTTGTATTTTTAGTAGAGACGGGGTTTCTTCGTGTTGGTCAGTCTAGTCTTGAACTCCTGACCGCAGGTGATCCGCCCACCTCAGCCTCCCAAAGTGCTGGCATTACAGGCGTGAGCGAGAGCACCTGGCCCTCATTTGTTTTTCAAAGAACTCAGTGGATGTGGAAGGGACAGGGAAAGAGATTGAATTTAGAGCTGGCTAACAGGGGCCCAGAGCGATCAGATAATATTGTTATTGCTATTACTGTTAGTACTACCACTGTTCGAACCTTTCTTGAGTGCTTCACCAGGCACTATGCTAACAATCCCATTTAATCCTCACAACCTCCATAGGAGACGGTTACCATTATTACCTCTATTGTGTAGATGAAAAACATGTGGTATTAAAGGTTAAGTGCTGCCTAAGATCACTTGGAGCTGGGATTTCAACACCCAGGTATATCTGATTCTCTAAGCCCATTCTTTCGCTGGAGGTAGGGGCACAGTTAAGAAGGAGGAAATTAATCCTTTGTTGAATTTTTGAAAGGATGATACGTTCGCATAGTCCAAAACTCAGAAAGTCCAGAAGGGAAATATCTCCCCCCAACACTGTGCCTCTATCCTGAGTTTTTTAATGAATCCTTACAAACGTGTTTTATGTATGTTACCATAATACGTACACACACACACATATACACCTGCCCCCTCTCTCCACACAAATAATAACATACTCAAGATACTCTTCTGTACCTTTATGGTACAAGTACCCTAACCGCCACTTAGGACTTGGCCAAGGCCACAGCCAAGTATGGGCAGGGCGGGCACTTGGCCTCTGAGATCTATGTCCAGTGCTCGCTCCTCACAGTGCTCCCCAACTCACCCACAACAGCCGACTCAGCCCCAGTCTGCCTCTAACAACCACACACAAAAGCAGCAAGAAATGGCCATGCTGCCTTCTGGGCAGGACACTCCATCCTACAGAAGGGACCTTTAGGCTCACTCCTCCATCTGCGAAGCTGGGCTCCCAAGGGACGGGGCCGTGTTTGGACTCACCCTATCCGCCTTCTTCTTCTGTGTAGTGACAGCAGAGAGAGCCTGCTCTAACTCTCCTGCAAACTTCCATGAATCATGCAGGCGGCTGATCAGATCCCTGGCCTCTCCTGGAATGAGAGACATTCAGATGTGGCCCAAAGGACTCCCCCTAAAGGCCTGTCAAAGTGCCAGGTTGAAGGATGATGGGGTGCCAGATTCCCACCTTCCAACTGCTTGACAGCATGCTGGCTGTAGTAGAGTGCCATCTGAAGCTCAGTTTTCTGACATGTAAGGATTCGTATGGTATGAACCTGGGCCTTTGGGAGAAAAGACAAGCAAATGCTGAAAGAGAAGCAAAGAAACATTCTCCAGAGGGCAGGAGGGAACTTCACACCCTCCACTCACCTCTAGCTCCCTCCTTAGGGCTTCCTGATGTTGGTGGCTTGCCTTCTGTTCCTATAGAAAGAGGAAAACAGAGCTCTTACTAGGGGTAGGCAGAGATCCACAGCAAGAGACATGCCCCCAGAATGGCACCACTGTCCCAGAACAGGCCCACCCATGGGACCAGTTTATCAGGGACCCTGTGGGGATGGGGTGGAATCTTGGGGGTGAGCCTTCTTCCCCAGGCTGGGAGTGGGTGAAATGAGCCTGGGGCCTCTACATCTGAGTGCCCCCAAACCCAGCGGTCATGTCGTGAGCAAAGAAATCACACTACTTCTTCCAGCTGAGCTCGGTTCTATTGTTTCTGTGGGGAGAGTCAAAGGAAGGTGACTGAGGGTGGCCCCCTTGACTCTATTCCCCAGGCCAGGAAGCGATAGGCAGGGGCCAGGAATGGATTTAAAAGGCACAGTTCTCAGACCCAATGGGAACATGAACTGGTCAACTCTCCTCAACTCCCAAAGAAGAAGGATTTGGGTCTTTTTGGTTTTTGCCCACAGCCACAGAACTCAAAGTCTGAAACTAGATTCTCTTGAAAAGACAGTAACAGAAACCTTCAGAGGTGGAGTGCGAGAAAAGCCCACCCTTCCGCCAGCTTGTGATTTAGAAAGGTGCATTCACTCAGCAAACGTTGAGCACATACGGGCCAGGGACGGTTCTTCACAGCGGGAATAGAGGTCAGAAAAGGCAGACAGGAGCCCTTGGCCCCGAGGTTTCCATTCTAGTGGGCCTTTAACTCTCGGGCTCTCAGAGCTAACAGAAACCTCTGATACTCTCTAACTCTACCTCAGGAAACGCAAGCCCAAGAAGGAGAGTTTACAGCAGGTCCTGGACGAGGGATTAACATAAAAACACAATGACAAATCTCATTTAAACTTCACAAACGTAAGGAAAACAATATCACTCGTATTTTACGGATGTGAAAAGAGAGGCCCAAAGAGCTCAAGCAATTTGCGCTAAATCATGTCCCTAGCAGATGGAGGGGTAGGATTCAAACCCAGAATTCTTAGCCAGTACCTGGCAGTTCTTCCACAATCTTAACAATTACCCTCCACCACCCCTTGGGCCCTCTGTCCCCAGGAGCCCGGCCAGCCAAGACTCACATCCTCAGGCGAGTGGCAACCACCAGAAGTGGTTGTCTCAGGGCTAGTGCCATTATTTATTTTCTTCTTTTTGGTGTCGCTTGCTGCTGTACCAACACTAGGGTTGGTCTGGGGATGATGGTCTGTCAACTGTGGAAAGGAAGAGCAGTGATACTCATGAGAACTACAAGCTCCTACAGTCACATCCTGCTTTACAGTTTATACTAAATACTCTTATAGACCATCTGATTTAATGCCACCAACTGTAGGAAATGTTGTCACAATCACTTAGTGACTGAGAGAGATTGATACCATGGCTGAAAAAAAAGGCAGTAATGGAACTTAAACTTAGTCTTCTGACTCTGAGCTCTGGGATTTTGCCCTAAATCAGCAGCTGCCAGGGACCAAAACCAGAGGCAGAGGTAGAAAAGCAAATATTAAGTAGGCAGGAACTGTGCACTATGTGGTTTAGGGTTATTCACCCTCACACGTCTGTTAGTGTTAAAAAGTACACCAGTACCTCTCAAACCTTTACATCAATGTCTCCTCATGGCAGAAGGCAGCCTTTCTGCTAAATCTGGGAATTTAACAGAAAGAGGACAACCCAAGCCTCATTTCAGAGAGAAGTCTTGTATACGCTTATAAATCTATGTGACTTTCATCCCTAAGTACATTAATGTTTTGCCTCTCAATAGAATCAAGGGAAACTGATGCTTCAGAAAGATGCCCCATATTTATCCTGTGGCACTCAAAGTACCCCAGGTTGAGATGAGATGAGGAAGACTCAAGCTAAGTTCAGTTTCCCAAGATCTGTTCCACAGAAGATAAGCAGATCTCACTCCAGAACCAGTGACTGAGGGGCACTCTGGTCCCAGAACAATGGAGAATTCAAATCTGAGGTGCAGAACTGAGAAAAAATGTTAAAGTCTCTCTGGAGAGTAGAAGCCTGGGAGAAAACCAAACCAAACCCATTCTCCCATTGCCACCCAGAGACACTGTCAACGTGTTGAGCTCATGGGGGAGGTGTAGGCTTTTCACACTGTCAAGGTCTGTGGTAAGGAAGTCAGGCAGCCTGAAACCTCTCTCTTCTAGGTCCCACAGTCCCCATTCCCCTTCCAGCTGGAAACCTGTGCTGCAACCAGAGGAAACAGAAGTGGGCAAGAACACTTAGGGGACTGGGTCCTAAGACCAAAGGCCGGTCTTGTGGTAGTAATGACAGTTTGTAGCGGGACTGTGACATCACTACATTCTACTCCTCGGTGGAGTTGTTGGGGGGGACACATGAGTGCAATGCCCAAGTTGCCGCTTTGAGACTGGGGAGGGGGTCACAAAATTGGGAGCCAGGTCCTTGGAGACGTGACCCCAAAGAGCCCCGGGAGGTCAGGCTTGGGGCGGCAGGAGGTGAGGGCCAATTAAGGAGCAAGGAGCTCCAGGAGTCACATCCCCAAAGTCACCCTGTGGCAACTGGTGAGGGCAGGTTCTGGGGCACCCAGGTCCTTGGAGATGTGAGCTCAAGGAGCCCAGGGAGGTCGGGTTTGGGGTAGCAGGAGGTAAGGGCGGAGTATGGAGTTGGAAGCCCCAGGAGTCACCTGCTCAAAGTCACCCTGGTGTGCCGGGCAGAGCAGGGGCAGGACTTATGAGGGGGTTGGGCTGGCTGACAAGATTTTGGTGTGGGGAGCCCAGAGGCACTGGGGTGGGGGGCCCAGCCTGGTGTCCCTCAGGAGTGGCACAGACTCTGGCAGCAGTTCGGCTGTCAGAGGGGGCCTCGGGTTGGGTTGGGGTGTTGGTGCGTTTACCTGTTCCTTGGCCTCGGCCAATTTGCTCTGTCTGGTTTCTTTGGACATCATAGGATGGGTAGGGAGGTGGGGATGGGTAGGGAGGTGGGGATGGGTAGGGAGGTGGGGATGGGTAGGGAGGTGGGGATGGGTAGGGAGGTGGGGATGGGTAGGGAGGTGGGGTTGGGGCCACATCAGCATGATCCAGGTGAGGACAAGTATATACCTCCAGTCACCTCTACGTCGCTGTGTGACTGAGCCAGAGGAGGCGTAACCAGGGCTGCACTAGAATGCAGAATAGGGGTGTGGCCTTCATGCTTGAAGCCCATTGGTCAATGAGAAAGATGAAAGGAAAAGGAGGTGTGGCCAGACAGCAGCGTGTCATCAAGGACCTGTGTTGTCACAAGGAAAGCTGCCTATGCAACCGCTGTCCCCGCCCACTCCAGGAGAGGGGCGGGGCTGGCTTTCACTTTAAAAACTTTAAAACTTTATTACCTCAATTGAGGTACAAGTCCTATTAAAATGGAAATTTTATAGTGTGCTTGATGATTGATAAAGCAGACTTTATTATCCAACATTCCAATAAGATAATCACAATGTTTTCTCTTTTTTGGAAAAACTTTCTCTTATTCTCCTACATTAGCGTTTAGTTTTTTTAAAAAAAACAAACAAACAAGAAACATGTCTAATATCTTTAAAAATACAAAGCTTTGAGCCAGGCGTGATGGCTCATGCCTGTAATCCCAGCACTTTGGGAGGCTGGGGCGGGTGGATCACCCGAATTCAGGAGTTCAAGACCAGCCTGGCCAACATGATGAAATCCTGTCTCTACTAAAAATACAAAAGTAGCTGGGCATGGTGGCAGGTGCCTGTAATCCTAGCTACTTGGGAGGCTGAGGCAGGAGAATCCCTTGAACCTGTGAGGCAGAGGTTGCAGTGAGCCAAAATCATGCCACTGCACTTCAGCCTGGGCTGCTACAGAATGTGACTCTGTCTCTAAATACACACACACACACACACACACGCACAGACACACACACACACGCACACACACACACACACACACACACAAGGCTTTCCATTTAATAAGCACTCAAAGTTCTTTACAAGGTTAAAGCAAATACAGGACCCTTCTAAAGTAAGGCTAAATGCTAAGTGATGGGGGAGAGAAAAAGGACATAAATAACTCCTACTCTCATGAGTTAATCACTAAATCCGATTTTTCTAGAATCACCTGGCCTCTAAGCCCTGAAAATGAAACTGAATTTCTCACTCGATACTTGGCTATGACTTGCAATCATGAAAACCAAGAATTGTGTTATGTCACTGTGTATTGCTTGTTACCTGGGATCAAGGGTTGACTTTTTCATGATTTGCTCCATTACCTGTGTGCTTCTTCTCCCAGTCCAAACTACGCTTTTTTCTAGAGTTCTACAATTTACAGTTAGTATGTAAGGGTGGCTCTCAAACATGTAGTCTCCGGACCAGGAGCACCTGGGAACTTCTTATAAATGTAAATTCTCAGGCCCCACCCTAGACATGAATGAATCAGAAACTCTGCAGTAGGGCCCAGCAATCCGTGCTGCAATAATCCCTCCAGGTGCTCAGGAACCTCTGCCATACAGCAGGTAGAAAAATGTGTTTCCTTCTGTAGGTCCAAAGCCAGGGATACTATATGTTCTGTCTCAATATGAAACAATGACATGCAATTAAAAGACATAAATCTCCTTCCTACTTCCACCCTCCAGCCAGTGTGTTTTATTTTTATGAGTTCAATAAGAAAACGTGTGGCAATCAGAGATTTCATCTAAAAAATATATCTACAGGTATCAGTTCTCATCCAGCCTGATCTCATCCAATATCATTTCTATCCTCTTACATCTAAAGTTTTAGAAAAGGATTTTCACAACGTAAGACTCAGGCGCACTAGGAGTTCTATGATAAAAGACCAAGTAGATCTGAATGTCCAAACTTACTAGAGAAGAAAAGTGGACTCATTGGCTATATTTTCAAATTGCATTCAACAGGAAATTAAAGTTTTGAATTTTTTCCACCTTCATCCTTCCAAGTTAATAGAATTAAACCAGAATACTCCATTCTTCCAAAGCCTGTAGCCAGGCAAACTTTTACTGTATTACTTCTTGCTTTTCAATGGATATAAAGCAGAGTCCTGGTAGGCACATTTTGTATACCTGCAAAGATGCAAAACTAAACAGTTCCCTCGGTTCAATATTAAAACAAAAGTCCTGTAAACCTCAGATGGTGAGTGTAATACTTCAGCACTAGCACGAAAGCCTCAAATATAAAAAGATACCAAGAACCTTGCTAGCAAACCAAAGTAAGCTCTTGGCCGGGAGCAGTAGTTCACGCCCGTACTCCCAGCATATTGGCAAGCTAAGGTGGGGTAAGTCAGGAGTTAAAGACCAGCCTGGGCAGCATAGCGAATTCATATCTCTACAAAGAAAATTTAAAAATTAGCTGGGCTTGGCGGCACACACCTGTAGTCCTAGAGCTACTTGGGAGGCTGAGGTGGGAAAATCACTTGAGCCCAGAAGTTTGAGGCTGCAGTAGCTATGATCATGCCACTGCACTCCAGTTGGGGTGACAGAGCGAGATCTAATTATTACATTCTGTCCTGCTCCTGTTTCCACTAAAATCACTAACTTAAAATGTGTTCATTCAGCAGGATAAAAATTAAGTGAAATTTGACTTTGGTGCTTTGCTAGCAAAAAATAAATAAATAAAGTGAAGTGACAAATTACTTACTGGGAGAAGATCTTTGTAACCTCAATGACAGATTAAAGGTTTGTATCCTTAGCCTATAAAGAAATCTTTAAAATTACTCAGAAAAAAAAATGAATGATTTGCAGCAGAAAATGGGCAATGGAGAAACCAGCACTTCCCACAAGAATAAAAATGGCCAATGAGCAAATGAAAAAGATTCAAAAGCACTAGAAATCAAAGAAAGGTAATGAAAACAATGAGATTTTCTGCTTAAAGACCAGCGAAGACGACAAATGGAAGGCGGAACCTGGAGCTCTGTCCCTGTTGGTGGGAGCGTAAACTCAACCAATTTTCCTATAGGATGATTTGAACATTTGTTTTAAAAATCCTAAAACTGTTTTATATTATTTTCTTCTAGAAATTCTACTTCTATGAATTCAGTGCAAAAATCCTCACTCGAGTCCATTAAAATATATATAGAAGGAAATCCACCTCTGGGGTGGCAATGATTCACTTAACATACATCCAGCTGTTGAAAGTGATGATGCCAGGATATATTTCTCCCATAGAAACATGCTTAAAATATAGTAAGTGACAAAAGACCATGTATTGTGATTCTACTTTTTAAAATGTTTACAGCATAAAAAGTGTGAAAAGCAACAAACTGGAATGTTTTGAGTGGCAAAATTAAAGATTTTTCTTTACATTTTGTCATCCAAATTATTACAAAAACAATGTGATTTCCTTTATAATCATGGAAAAGTGTTATTTTCATTTATTTATATTTACATTTCTTTTCTTTTTCTTCTTTTTTCTCCTGTATGTATCCCACATAGGCTACAGAGCTTAAATCCCTGCCTCTTGAGAGAAATCAGCCCATTTTCAGGACATGCAATACACAAAGCTGCCCCATCTTCCCTTTATTTTTATTTTTATCTTATTTATTTATTTATTTATTTATTTATTATTTATTTATTTATTTATGTTGAGATGGAGTCTCACTCTGTTGCCCAGGCTGGAGTGCGGTGGCGCATCTCAGCTCACTGCAACCTCCATATCCCGAGATCAAGCGATTCCCCTGCCTCAGCCTCCCGAGTACCTGGGACTATAGGCATGCACCACCATGCCCAGCTAATTTTTGTATTTTTAGTAGAGAGGAAGTTTTACCATCTTGGACAGGCTGGTCTCGAACTCCTGACCTCAAGTGATCCGTCTGCCTTGGCCTCCCAAAGTGCTGGGATTACAGGCATGAGCCACTGTGCCTGGCCTGTCATATTATTTCTAAACATTTGAGTGACATTTCAATTAAGTGAAATTTAATTCTTACTGATCTGATCTCTTATCCTCTGTTTAATGATACCTTCCAGTTGAAAGGTGTTTCCTCTGTAATCACGGGTGCCAAAGGAAATACAACATGTATTCATTAGGTGGATATCCACTAAACCACGGATTCATGCATTGTAGTCCTTAGACCCTCAGCATCAGAAACACGTGGGAACTTGTTAGACATGCAAATTCCTGGGCCAGCCCCACACCTCCTGAATCAGAAAGTGGGGAAGGACAGCTATCTGTGCTTTAATAAGCCTTGAGATGCTCCCTGAAGTTTGAAAACTACAGAACTAGAATACATATGGTAGTAAGTGCTCATACTTTATCCAAGGTACTAGGGACTCTTCCCCTCTTTTCCATTCTCTTTTCTGTTGAAATAAAATGAGAGCTCCTTTTGACTTAATGGGTATAAGAAAGAAGGCAATGAGATGACCAGGGTTTCAAGTTAGAGTTCAAAATTTAATCAGTGGACAGTGACAGGATGCAAGCCTTCTAAACAGATTGCTGCAAGGAAGCTGATTATAATCTATACAGTAGGTATCATTAGTGTATTGATGTTAAATTTTGGGGGTGGATTAATGGTATTGTGATTATATAGGAGAAGTCCTGGTTCCTAGAAGATATCTGCGAAAGTACTTAACAGTGAAATGCTCTGATACTGCCAACTTACTTTGAAATGATTCAGAGGGAAAAAGGGCACATATACAATCTTCCATACGCAGAAGACAGAAAACAAGTGTGACAAAACATTAACTAGTGAATCCAGTTGAATAGCATACAGATGTTCACTGTATGATTTTATCAACTTTTCTGTGTTTGCAAGTTTTCAAAATAAAAGTTGAGGGAAAGAAACATCACCCCAAATCTTTCTATGAAATGGGACCACAGAAAAAGCAGAGAAGTGAACACTTTGCAGAAAAGAGCACTGCACCCATCCGGACAGCATGGTCAAAGTGCAGGCTCTCCTCCAGGAGGCTCTTCTCTGGTCTCTTCTGTGCTGTCACTTCCCCCACATGCAGCCAAGGCTTTTTTCTAACAACTCTTTTTCTAAAGATGTAATTTTTGTCATTCATCTAAGAAAGAGAAGAAAAGAATTAGTATACATTTAGAAAATAAAATTACACTTACATTTGTGAAAAAGCAAAAAATACTTTGAAAAGTGGGGAAGCAAGAAATGTACTGTTCTACAATTCTGTTCTGTTCTTACCATCTTTTTATTCTGCCAATGACTTCCTATTCCTGCTGTGTATGGTGGGGTGAGCTGCAAATGATTTCTTTTCCTCATTGATTTAAAATGTCATGTTTATAATGTACCAAACTCCCCCAGAAGCATTTGGGTTTATTTCTGGGCTCTATTCTATTCAAGTAATCTATCTGTTCACAAGCCACTATCAATTTTGATTATTGGAGCATCCTAAAGTTAAGTAATTGTTGTTTTTGTTTTTGAGATGCAGTCTCTCACTCTGCCGCCCAGCTGGACTGCAGTGGCGTGATCTAGGCTCACTGCAAGCTCCACCTCCCGGGTTCATGGCATTCTCCTGCCTCAGTCTCCCGAGTAGCTGGGACTACAGGCACCTGCCACCACGCCTGGCTAATTTTTTGTATGTTTAGTAGAGATGGGGTTTCACCTTGTTAGCCAGGATGGTCTCGATCTCCTGACCTCGTGATCCGCCTGCCTCGGCCTCCCAAAGTGCTGGGATTACAGGCGTGAGCCACCGCGCCTGGCCCTGAATTTGCTTGAGTTTTTAGCTCTCTCACCCATTTCAGGATTGTCACCACCCATATCTGACACATCCTCCTCCTTCTCTAAATCTTCTAGGTCCTCCTGGCCATCAGCCTCTGTTTCTGAACCAGCCTCTTCATGCTCCTGTTCTTCACTCTCTGGGAGAAGACTGATATCTTCATCTTTCTTTCACTAACCGCATTCTGGAAGCACTGTAAAATTGCTTCATTTTGCAATTCCAGTTGTTGCAAAGTCTGCTCATCATCAAAACTTTCTATCACAAGTTTTTGTAAAGAGCTGCCATGGATTCTACCATTCTCTACTGTTTTATTAAAGTCATAAAGCACTTTTGTTAAAGAAGTGAACTTTGGTTCCAATCCATCTTGAAACCTATTGGGAGGAATTAAATGAGATTTAGAATTATAGATAATAATTTCACAGCCCTCTTAATTAAAAGAAAAATAAAAACCTCAACTCTTCTGTAAAATCAAATTTGAATAAAGTGTAAGTATAGATTCTGGCCCCAATAATATATAAGCTGATGAGCCACAATGATATATAAAACCTGTCAACCAAGTATTTGTGAATCATCTGTATAGATTGTTGGCAGGAAAAGCATTACAAATCTATTTGCTTGGAGATATATAGAGAATTAGCCTTAAATTTTCTACTCTGCTACATTATATACCACTCCATTCATTCATTCCCTTATTCACTCAATGATCAACATTTGCTTTGGCTACAGTGGTCAAGGAAAACCTCTCCTAGATGTGACATCTGAGATGAAACTTACAGACAAGTATAGTCTTATAAAGATTGGGAAACATGTATTCCAGGCGGAAGAAACAGCAAGAACAAATTCTCTAAGATGCAATTGAGCTTGGTAAGCCTGAGGAATAAAAAAGTGAGCATGGCTATAGCGTGAAGGAGGCAGAAGGTGAAGTTGGAGAGACTGATGGGAGCCAAATTCTGCAGGGCTCAAGGGTAAGAGTTTGCCGTTTTAAGTGTAATAAGAAAATGTGAGAAGATTTTAAGCAGAAGGATGAAATGATGATTTATACGAAGGAAGAAGAAAGGGAGGAAGGAGGAGGAGGAAAGTAGAGTGATTAGAAGGTTGATGCAGCATTCCAGGCAAAGGATGATGGTGATTTAAGCTGGAGTTAGAGCAGTGAATATGCTGAGTACAGTTTGGAGGTAGAACTGACAGGATTGCTAAGGAATTAGATACAGAATAGAGAAAAGTGAAGACATCAAAATAGCAGCCTAGTTTTATGTGCGAGCAACTGGAGAGACAGAACTGCCATTTACTGCGATAGGCAAGGCTTGAGTGGTGGAGCAAGGGGAAAGGACTTCAGCGGATGGCAGAGTGTAGGTGGGTAGAAACAACATTCTACTGTATTTTGGACACAGTGAATTTGTGATGCTGAGAGGATCAAAATTTAAAAAATTGTTAAAAGCCGTACGGTGCGGATATCCCAGTTGTGCGCTACTGAATTCCAACTAAGCTCAGTCTGGAGTTGCTTGTGAGCAAGGAACTCAAGGGAGAGGTTGGAGTTTGAAACATAAATGAGTCATAATTTTATAGGTCATATTTGAAGTTCTTCAACAAAATACACATAAAACGTTTGTGTTGGGAAGAGACATGAAAGTTCTAATTCTCAAGAAGCTTAGTGGGGTAGACAGACAAGTGACAAGTTTGTGCTTTCAATAAAGTATGATGGCAGGTAAACACTGAGTGCTTTAGGAGCACAGGCGGAAGGAGAAACCAACACAGTTGTGTGTAGGGGGATGGGGGCCGTAATAAGCCTCAAGGGGAGCTTATAGGCGTGAATAACTGAGGTTAGGTTGATTTCAATAACATTCATCTGAGAGATCCATACTGTAAAAGTTTTAACAATTTTTAAAATTTTGATAGCCTAGGTCCTCTGAAATGTGGGGAAAAGTGATTTACATTTCCCCTTACCTTCCCCCAGCTCCACAATTTGCCAGGGGTCTGCAACCCGTGTCCACGTGCGACCGCAGTCGCACCCGAGCCCGGGATCTGTGCACTTACGTGAGGATGCACTCGGGCCAGCCAGTGGCTTTGCCCACCTCCCTCAGACACCGCTCCAGGGTCCGTCAGCGCCAGGCCCATGGGCCATGGCTGTCTGCAACTCCCGACACAAGCTGCAAGGCAAGAGAGCCGCTGGGAAACCGCACCGCAAGGATGCTGGCATTGGAACAGGAATTAAAAGAAATGAAAAAATGTGTAAGCAAAAACTCAGCTGTATGTAAAAAAAACCCAATTCCCCCTGAGAATGAGAAAGAGCCTTAGTCCTTTAAAAAAACTACCTGTTTTCCTATGGCTAGTGAGCCTTATCGCTCCCTTCCCAGGCATTATCAAAACCCTAATTCCCTAACTGTGCAACTGCAAGGTCACTAAACAAACAAATGCAAGTCACAAAACATATTTTTCCTAAAAACGTAAAAAAAAAAAACATAATGCGTGCTTCAATTAAATAACTCTCTGTTTCTCGCTTCTGTAATATGCTTCCCCCTGCACAGATCTACCCGGGCTCCACAAAATGCTAAAAGATAACTCTTTATTCAGCTCAACGCTTTGATCTGCCTGGCGTGGTGGCTCACTCTTGTGATCCCAGGACTTTGGACGGCCAAGTAGGGTGGATCGCTTGTGCCTTGGAGTTCCAGACAGGCCTGGGCAACATGGTGAAACCTGGTCTTTTTGTTTTGTGTTGTTTTGAGACGGAGTTTCGCTCTTGTTGCCCAGGCTGGAATGCAGTGGCTGGGTCTCTGCTTGCCGCGACTTCCGCCTCCCGGGTTTCGGTCGTTGTCCTGCATCAGCCTCCAGAGTGGCTGGGATTGCAGGCATAAGCCACCAAGCCCGGCTAATTTTGTATTTTTTTTTTATTTTTATTTTGGTACAGATGGGGTTTCTCCCTGTTGGTCAGGCTGGTCTCAAACTCCCGACCTCAGGTGATCCACCTGCCTAGGCCTCCCGAGGTGCTAGGATTGCAGGCTTGAGCCACCGCTCCCGGCCCAACTTATTAATCAGAAAGGAATAGATCGTCCTGGTGTGGTGGCTCACGCTTGTGATCCCAGTACTTCGGATGGCCCAGCGCGGGGTATCCCTTGAGCCTAGGAGTTCCAGACCTGCCTGGGCAACATGGTGAAACCCGGTCTCTCTCTCTCTCTCTTTTTTTTTTTGAGGCGGAGTTTCGCTCTTGTTGCCCAGGGTGGAGTGCAGTGGCTGGGTCTCCGCTCGCAGCGACTTCTGCCTCCAGGGTTTTAGTAGTTCTCCTGCCTCAGTCTCCGGAGTGGCTGGGATTGCAGGCCTGACCAACATTGCTCTGCTAATTTTTTTTTATTTGTTTTTGGTAGAGACGGGGTTTCTCCATGCTGGGCAAGCTGATCTCAAACTCCAGACCTCAGGTTATCCGCCCACCTCGGCCTCCGGGGATGCTGGAATTGCAGGCGTGAGCCAGCGCACACACCCAATTTATTTTTATTTCATTTTTTATTTTTATATATATATACTTTTGAGACGGAGTCTCACTTTGTCACCCAGGCTGGAGTGCAGTGGTGCGCTGTCTCGGCTCACTGCAACCTCTGCCTCCCAGGTTCAAGCGATTCTCCTGCCTCAGCCGCCTGAGTAGCTGAGATTACAGGCGCCCGCTAGCACACCCATCTAATTTTTTTTTTTTTTTTGTATTTTTAGTAGAGATGGGTTTTCATCATGTTGGCCAGGCTGGTCTCGAACTCCGGACCTCAGGTAAACCCACCTCGGCCTCCCAAAGTGCTGGGATGACAGGAAGGATCGGCCTGGCGTGGTGGCTCACGCTTTTGATCCCAGGAGTTTGGACGGGCCGAGCGTGGCGGATCCCTTGATCCTAGGAGTTCTAGACCAGCCTGGGCAACGTGGTGAAAACCGGTCTCTCTCTCTCTCTCCTTTTTTTTTTTGAGGCGTAGTTTCCCTCTTGTTGCAGGGCTGGAGTGCAGTGGTGCGGTGTCGGCTCCCCGCGGCCTCTGCCTCTGGGTTTGGGTGGTTCTCCTGCCTCAGCCTCCGAGTGACTGGGATTGCAGGCGGGAGCCACCATGCCCGGCTCTTTTTTTTTTTTTTTTTTTTTTTTTTTTTTTCTGGTAGAGACAGGTCTCTCCATGTTGGTCAGGCTGGTCTCAAACTCCCGACCTCAGGTGATCCGCCCGCCACGGCCTCCCGGGGTGCTGGGACTGCAGGCGTGAGCCACCGCTCCCGGCCCAATTTATTAATCAGAAAGAAATAGATCGGCCTGGCGTGGTGGCTCACGCTTTTGATCCCAGGACTTTGGACAACCGAGCGTGGGGAATTGCTTGAGCCTAAGAGTTCCAGACCTGCCTGGGCAACATGGTGAAAATCTGTCTCTTATTATTATTTTTTTTTTTTTTGAGGCGGAGTTTCCCTCTTGTTGCCCAGGCTGGAGTGCAGTGGCTGGGTCTCCGCTCGCGGCAAATTCTGCATCCCGGGTTTTGGTGGTTCTCCTGCCTCAGCCTCCTGAGTAGCTGGGATTACAGGCGCCTGCCGCCACACCCGGCTAATTTTTTTTTTTGTATTTTTAGTAGAGACGGGTTTTCATCATGTTGGCCAGGCTGGTCTCAAATTCCTGACCTCCGGTGATCCACCCACCTCCGCCTCCCCAAGTGCTGGGATGACAGGCGTGATCGGCCTGGCGTGGTGGCTCACGCTTTTGATTCCAGGACTTTGGACTGGCCAAGCGTGGGGGATTGCTTGAGCCTAGGAGTTCCAGACCGGCCTGGGCAACATGGTTAAACCCAGTCTTTTTTTAAATTCCTTTATTATTATTATTATTATTTTTTTTTGAGACGGAGTCTCTCTGTCGCCCAGGCTGGAGTGCAGTGGCGCTATCTCGGCTCACTGCAGCCTCTGCCTCCCAGGGTCAAGGGATTCTCCTGCCTCAGCCTCCTGAGTAGCTGGGATTACAGGCGCCCACCACCACACCCGGCTAATTTTTTTTTATTTTTTAGTAGATCGTGGTAACTGCCTTAAAATGATGATTGTTCAGAAAGTCAGTTTAATTTAGATACTAAGGATATTGAGGTTATGTAACATTTGAGCAAGTTCTAAAAAAAAGAGAAATAGTATATTTAATTGCTAATAAAGTATTGTCAACTCACAAATATATTCACATAGCATACATTTCAAGAGCAGAATAACCATGAATATAAAAGGAATTAGCAAAAACGAAACAAAAAAGACATGAAGAAATAAAAACAGATGGAACAAATAGCACAAAATACGATGAAAGTTATAAAAGAAACTATGCCAACAATCACAATAAATGTAAATAGACTGAATAATTAAGAGAAAATGACTATAAAACAGAATTAGGGCACGCGTGGTGGCTCATGCCTGTAATCCCAGCACTTTGGGAGGATGAGGCAGGCGGAGGGATCACAAGGTCAGGAGTTCGAGAGCAGCCTGACCAACATGGTGAAACCCCATCTCTGCTAATACAAAAATTAGCCGGCGTGGTGGTGAACATCTGTAATCCCAGTTACTCAGGAGGCTGAGGCAGGAGAATCGCTTGAATCCAGGAGGCAGAGGTTGCAGTGCCGAGATCACACCATTACACTCCAGCCTGGGCAACAGAGCAAGACTCCGTATCAAAAAAAAAAAAAAACACACAAAAAAACACAAAAAACAGAAAATAAACAGTATGAAAAGACATCTAAAACATAAAGTCACAGAAAGACTGAGAGAGATTGAAAAAAGATACACCTGTCATATGTACCTAACCCAAAGAAGGGTTGGAAGCTATATTATTATCAGATAAAATAGGCTTTGGGCAAAAAGCAATATGGGAGATTTTTTAAGGCCACAATATAATGATAAAAATTCTAATAAACCAAGGGAGAAGGTAATCTAAAATGTTAATGTATCTAATAACTAGCACTCAAAATACATGAAAGCAAAATATGACAAAATTGCAACCCTCAGAGGGCAATTTAAATACATATCTCAGTATCTGATAAAAGAGACAAAAAACAATCAGCATAGACATAGAAGATTTACATCTCTCTAGAAAATTAACAAGCTTGACTTAATGTACAGAAAAAACATCTCTCCAAAGTGACAGCATTCACCCCCCCAAGTACATATGTACTGAGCCATAAGGAAAATCTCAACAAATTCCAAAGAAGCGGAATCATGCACCCATCTTTCTCTCTAACCATAATCTCATTAAACTAAAAACAATAATAAAAAGATAAAGTAAAAAGCCAGAAAGGCAGATGCTAAATGAGAAAGTGACAGAAAAGTTACAGATTTTGTTAAGCATACAAAGCTTCTATGGGGTAAAGCAGTCAAAGGGATATGCAAATTTACACAGAAATCCAACCGATATAAATCCTTGAAAGATACTACATACAGATATTTCATCAGTTCTCACATGCCAAACCCAGCAAAGCCAAACTTTGGAGCCTCCCCTGCGAGCAGACCTGCCACAGGAGGAGAGGCAGCACAAACCTCCCTTTGCAGTGAAAATGCCACATTGTGTGTGCTTCTTACCCCATCACCTCTTTGGAAGTGGCCCCACTCAGCGCTAGCTGAGAATCGCTTCCCTCATACCACTCTCAGTAGTTCACCCCAAGACACACGGGACAACTCTGTACCTGGTAAGTCATTGTGAATCCAATTAATAATGGCATTCAGAAAGTTAGGAATCTTTGAATTATTAGATTCATAGTGATATTCAAAAGAAAGAAAACGACATCATTTCTGTTCCACGCATGTTGCCCACATTCACTGCGTAAAAGGCAAAGGGAACTGTGAGTACCCACAAAGAACCTGATATTGACGGCACATACATTTCTTCATTAGGAAGAATAAATTTAGACTGTAACAATTTAAAAAACCAGAAAATACAACTGTACATTTTAGTTCTTATTAAAATCCAAGAGTTTTAACTTATTTGCTCCTTGTTTAGGTAATTAGTGTCTAAAACATTTCAAAGATAACATATATAGTGGCTACGATTTCTAGTACTTTTTAAAAATTCAAGCCCAGTCTCTTCTAATTAAATGTATAAATGATTTATCTCTGTCTTTCTTAAAAAGAACCAAGAGCCCCAATTAAAAAGTAAAACTTAAATTTCCTCTTAAAAAATTGTTACGTCGGCCGGGCGCGGTGGCTCACGCCTGTAATCCCAGCACTTTGGGAGGCCGAGGCGGGCGGATCACGAGGTCAGGAGATCGAGACCATCCTGGCTAACACGGTGAAACCCCGTCTCTACTAAAAAAATACAAAAAAAAATTAGCCGGGCGTGGTAGCGGGCGCCTGTAGTCCCAGCTACTCGGGAGGCTGAGGCAGGGGAATGGCGTGAACCCGGGAGGCGGAGCTTGCAGTGAGCCGAGATCGCGCCACTGCACTCCAGCCTGGGCGACAGAGCGAGACTCCGTCTCAAAAAAAAAAAAAAAAAAAAAAAAAAAAAAAAATTGTTACGTCAAAATTATCTAATAAACCATAGTTCAGAAAATAATTTCTGAATTAAGAAAATATGAAGAATAAAACCAACAGTTTATGTGCTGAATTTCACATTTTTATTTTTTATTATTTTTAAAATTTTGTTTTAAGTTCTAGGGTACATGTGCAGGAGTGTTACGTAGGGAAACGTGTGCCATGGTGGTTTGGTCCACCTATCAACTCATCACCTCAGTGTTAAGCCCAGCACGCATTAGCTATTTTTCCTGATGCTCCTCCCCCACCCGCCCTGACAGGCCCCAGTATGTGTTGTTTCCCTTCCTGTGTCCATGTGTTCTCACTGAACCTCACATTTTTAAATACAGCATATGCCAGGTGTCATTTCAGTACCCATAATTATACATAGTATATGTATATGTGTAAATATATGTATATGTGTACATATATGTATGTAATATGTGTATGTAAATATTATGTAAATATGTATGTATGTAAATATATATGTAAATATGTATGTGAATGTATGTAAATATATACACATGTAAATATGTATGTAAAAATATGTACGTAAATATATGTATGTAAATATATGTATATATAAATGTAAAATATGTAAATATTTGTAAATGTAAAATATGTAAATGTAAAATAAATGTAGAATGTCAAATGTAAATGTAAAATGTAAAATAAATGTAAAATGTAAAATAAATGTAAAATGTAAATGTAAAATATGTAAATATATGTATATGTGTAAATATATATGTGTAAATATATATGTATATGTGTAAATATATATGTGTAAATATATATGTATATGTGTAATATATATGTATATGTGTAAATATATATGTATATATAACACAGCATACAGCATATGCCAGGAGTCATTTCAGTACCCATAATTATACATAGTATAATTATACATAGTATAATTAGACTACTATGTTAGCTAAAAAATGTTGATTAGATACAAATGTATAAATTTATCTTCTCTAAACGTGGAAATTCTCTAGAGGCTATTTCCAGCTTCTGTGTGGATTGTAGAGCAGGCTGCTACCTGTACCCCAAAAATGAACACCTTAAAAAAAAGACAACTTTCTCAGCCTCCCTATTGCACACACATATGAAAAATATGTTAAATTCAACGCCAAATATTCCTGAGATCAACACAGCAGTGATCCCAAAGAGAAAATTTCTCTTTGCTAATGGGCACAAACTTGAAGGGCAAAGCAGTGGAAGGGTAAGTCTGCAGACTCGCGTGGGGCTCAAGTCAGAATCACGTGGAAGATCATTGCCACATGTTTTTGTTTTTTTAAATAGCAACCACCACCAAGTGGAGCCCGCCGGGTTTAGTAGATATTAAACCTCTAAGGAGTGGCACATCCGAGACTGAAATTCCCATCTTTTGATTCCCAGCTCAAGGTCTCTGAAATGCCAGCACCAGCTGTGAAATTGTTCTTCTGCATTTTCATGGAGACCTTTTCTTCTATACTGCCATACTCTTTTTTTTGGAACAGTTATACCTGATCTTCCTATTTTTGTGTGTGTTCCACCGAAACTTTTTCACTCTAAATACTTCCCTCTTTCCAACTGAGCATTTACATCTGTAACAAGGACAAAAACATCTAACATCTCTCTCACCCTTGGTTTGTGTTTTGTTTTGTTTGTTTTTGAGACAGGGTCTTGCTCTGTCACCCAGGCTGGAGTGCAGTGGCGTGATCACTGTTCACTGCAGCCTCGAGCTCCTGAGCTGGAGCAATTTTCCCACCTCAACCTCTGAGTAGCTGAGACTATAGGTGTGTGCCACCACGCCTGGCTAATATGTGTATTTTTTGTAGAGATGAGTTTTTGCCATGTTGCCCAGGCTGGTATTGAACTCCTGGCTTAAGTGATCCTCCTGCCTAGGCTTCCCAAAGTGCTGGAAGGAATTACAGGTATGAGCCACCGTGCCTGGCCTCACCATTGTTAAAATTATGGAAATCGTGTTTGCAAAGCAGGTTGGCCTGTTTGGAAAAGGGTGTCATAATTTCTCAGGTAGCTCCAAAAAGAGAAAGCTACGAAAATTACCTTAATACATTCATTACAGTCTCAGTATAAGATTATAGCTTCCTCTCCCAAAGCGTAACCACAACCTGACGCAGGATGAGTTGGTTTGAAAATACCGCATACAATATCCTCTTGAGTAGAATCATAATTTAGAACTCTAAAAATGACCGGAAACAAAACTGTCCAAGTTTGTTTAACGTAATGTGTTTCAACTTATTTGACTAGAAAACCCTTCATTCGTGCAACACTTATAAATATCCCATGGCAAATCTAGTTTTCTATGAATAATGAACGAAACATTTATAATTTAAAACTAAAATTGTCTTCTAAGCAGAGATCTACGTATCAATAAAATGAAGAAATAAAATTTCCATACTGTTTTCTTCCCAATACAAGGATTAGAAGGAAAGGGAAAAGAGTAACAGCGAGAATCAATAGCCCATGTCTGGCCAGGCTCCATGGCTCAATCACACCTGTAATCCCAGCAATTTCAGAAGCTGAGGCGGGAGGATCACTGGCCTTTAGTGATCCTTGAATGAAACTCCATCTCTAAAAAATTAAAAATATTAGCTTAGAGAATCATTTGGGCCCAGGAGTTTGAGGCTGTATTGAACTATGACTATGCTACTGCATTCCAGCCTGGGCAACAGGCTGCTTAAACCTGGAGGGGCAGAGCTTGCAGTGAGCCGAGATCGCGCCACTGCACTCCAGCCTGGGCAAAGGAGCCAGACTCCGTGGCAAAAAAAGAAAAAAAAAAAAAAAAAGAGATTCTATTCACAATAGCAACAAAACCCTGAGAATATATCTAGCAAAGTATACACAGGCCTTTCATGAAGAGTATTGCCATAGCCTGAATGTGTCTCCCAAAATTCATGTATTAAAACTTAATTCCCAAGATGATAGTACTAAGAAGTGGGGCCTTTAAGAAGTGATTAAGACATAAGGGTGAGCCCTCATGCATGAGATTAGTGCCTTCCTTATAAAAGGGCTTGTGGGTGGTGGTAAATCTGTCCCTTCTGCCTCATGAGAACATAGCATTTGCCTGCTCCAGAGGAAGCAGCATTCAACGTACCATCTTGGAAGCAGAGACCAGGCCCTCACTAGACACTGTGTCTGCTGGAGTCTTGATCTTGTTCTTCCCAACCTCCAGAACTGAGAAAATAAACTTCTGCTCTGTGTAAATTACCCAGTCTCAGGTGTTTTGTTATAGCACTATGAAGGGACTAAGACAAATATAAAAATTACCCAGGGACTTAAAGGAAGAACTGACTAAACTGAAATATATGCCATATATATTATGAATCGTAGGACTCAATGCTATAAACATACTACTTCTCAACAAATTAATCTATAAATTCAAGAAATTCCTACACAAATCCCAATAGAATTTTTTTGTGGAACTCGAGAGGCTGATCCTAAAATTCATACAGTCACTTGAGGGGCCAAGAATAGTGTAACAGGGCTGGCGGGGCTGGTGGCTCACACCTGTAGTCCCAGTACTTTGGGAAGTCAAGACTGGAGGATGGTTTGAACCCAGGAGTTCAAGACCAGCCTAGGCAACATAGCAAGATGTTGTCTCAAAATATTAAAAATAAATAAATAAATAAATAAAAAGAAGGTTAAGTATGCACATTTTGTTGTGAATTTCAATTTTATAGTGATTTTTTTTTTTTTTTTTGAGACAGGGTCTTGCTCTGTCACCCAGGCTGGAGTGCAGTGGTGCCATCTTGGTTCACTGCAACCTCTGCGTGGGCTCAAGCAATCCTCCCGCCTCACTCTCTGGAGTAGCTGGGACCACAGTTATGTGCCACCACACCTGACTAATTTTTATATATTTTTTTTGTAGAGACGGGGTTTTTCCATGTTGCCCAGGTTGTTCTCAAACTCATCCACCTGCCTTGGCCTCCGCAAGTGAGATCACAGACATGGGCCACTGTGCCCGGTCTAGTGCGCTTTTTTTTTTTTTTTTTTAACCAAACAAACGATGAAGTCTCAGGAGTAAAAGTTGATACACAAGTAAATTTTATTGGTAATGTTTTTGTGTGGTCTTTAAGCAGAGGGAAAATTAGTCTGCATTATGGTGTATCCAGACTAAATAACTGATATTAAAATGAAATTATCCTTAGGATTTACAATCTTAGAGAAAACTTTTTCATTTTTTTTGAGTTACAAATTATCTTCACTTACATTTGAGAACAGTGAGTCACAGAGGGATTAAGTATCTTACTCAAGATCTTGCAAGTGTTTGGTTTGAACCCAATCTTTTCACTCTGCAGAACTCAGAGTCACTCTTATTTGGAAACTTTTTAACTGATGTGGATCCTCTAATATGGGCTTCCTATTATTCATTCCGTATTAGTCAGAAGTTTTGCAAGCAGGCAGAATTCATTTTGCCAATTACGGGATTTTCCCTCAGTTGCAGTCAAGGTTCATAAAACTATAACTATTTATCTTTAATTATAAATTTTGTTTTTGAGACAAAGTCTTGCTCTGTTGCTCAGACTGGGATCCAGTGGCACAGTAACAGCCCATTGCAGCTTTGAACTCCTGGGCTCAAGGGATCCTCCGCCTCAGCCTCCCAAGTATCTGGGACTACAAGTGCATGCCATCATCCCTGGCTAATTTTGTTAAAAAAAAAAAAATTGTAGAGATAGGGTCTTGCTTCGTTGCCCAGGCTGGTCTCAAACTCCTGGCCTCAAGCAAGCCTTCAGCCTTGGTCTCCCAAAGTGCTGAGATTACAGGTGTCAGCCATTGCACCTGGCCAAAACTGTAACTATATATACACACACACATAACTACATATATATGTGTGTGTGTATGTATGTGTGTGTGTATATATATTTTTATATATAAATAGATATATCTGAAAGGCATCAAAAGAAAAAAGCTGTAACTTTTAGTCTTGATCTTGATAGTGACTTGATTAGGCTATCTGTTTAACATCAAAGATGCAAATTAATGCTTTCTTTGGGTGAGCATATTAAAAATGCAGAAAATATTGGAGTAGTTTTTTATGTTAAATAAATTGTATTCTGTGTATTTAAGGTATACAACATGATTTTGTGGGATGCATATAGATGGTTAAAAAAATTACTACAGTGAAGCAAATTAACGTATCCTTCAACTCAGATAGTTACCCGTTTTCTTTTTGTTTGGTGGCAAGAGGAGCTTAAAATCTCATTTAGCGTGAATCCCAATACAGCACAATTTTATTACCTATATTTCTTGCGTTGTACATTATATTTCTAGGCTTGTTCATCCTACATATCTGCTACTGTGTAACCTCTGAGCTATGTCCACCCATTTTCTCTCTTGCCCCCCAAGTAATTTCCTAAAGTGTCTCATATAAAAAGGCAGTAGCTTTCAGCTTAAACTTTTTCTCTGTATATATTTAAGTCAATTTCTTTGAGGTATGTTTTTCTCTCCAGAATAGTTAGATGTAGGCATACCACTTTAATGTTGACACTAGTTCACCTAGAACTTATCTTCTGCAAATCTGTCTCTATGTCCATCTCTGTCTCCATCTTTGTCTCTATCTTTATCTCTGTCTATCTATCTATCCATCCATCCATCCATCCATCTATCTATCTATCCATCTATCTGTCTATCTAACTAAAGCAAATTCATGCCCTTCTCCTATTTATGGAATCGAGACCATAAACAGAGGTGAGGGAAAGAATTTGGCAGGAATTGCGATGTGTATTACCTGTGGCATAAGGAAACTTTACAGAACTAGGGTCAAAAGTATACTTTCTAGTTCTTTCCCATGGCTTTTCACTTTGATGTAGTCCTTATCAGGCAACTGAGGTTTTATATAAGTCCCCTGATTCTTAGAACATGAAGGTGTAGTATTCAAGTTTGGTCCCTTGAAAGCACAATTTTTGTTAAAAAAAATTAAGAAAATTGTATGATTTCCTCAGCAAATACATATTGATCATCTGTTATACAGCCATGAGAAGTGGTTCTGTTGAACACGTTTATTTTATCAGATCCCAATTCTAAACCAGGCATAGAATGGAAACCATGAAGGTAGGATGAAATAACTTCTGAATGTTTGAAAATAGTGTACTTAAAAATAAATATCAGGTGTTTTTGTTTTGTTTTTTGTTTTTTGTTTTTGAGACAGGGTCTCACTCTGTCACCCAGGCTGGAGTGTGGTGGTGCCATCTCACCTCATTGCAGCCTTGACCTCCCAGGCTCGGGTGATCTCCCACCTCAGCCTCCCAAGTAGCTGGGACTACAGGCACATGCCACCATGCCCAGCTAATTTTTTGTATTTTTTGTAGAGACAGGGTTTCACCATGTTGCCCAGGCTGGTCTAGAACTCCTGGGCTTAAGCGATCTTCCCACCTCAGCCTCCCAAAGTGCCAGGATTACAGGCATGAGCCACCATGCCTGGCTGAAAATACCAGGTTTTTAAGTATCAGCACTGCCTCTTCAATCTTTTCTATTACTATGTTGTGCTCAGTGGTATTTTTTATTGAATTAGAGCAGTGCTGTTCAATGGAACCTTCTTTGAGGATGGAAATCTTTTATGTCTCTGCTGTGTGGGTATGGTATTAGCTGGGTATGGGGCACCTGCCTATAGTCCCAGCTACTCAAGAGGCTGAGGTGGGAGGATCACTTGAGCCCAGGAGGCCGAGTCTGCAGGTTCGTACCACTGCAATTCAGCCTGTGTGACAGAATGAGACTCAGTCTCAGAATAAAATGAAATAAGGAAATAAAAATGTAATTGTTGAAATAAGAAACTAGTGGATGGATTAGACACGAGAAGAAAGAATTAATTGTTTAGACGATTCTCTCCAAAAAGTAAGTCAGCATGTCACACAGAGAGACATGAGGATAGATGATAGGGCAGAAGTTGGTGGGCTTGGAGGGGAGAGGAAGATCAGAATGAGGTCCAAAATGTGTCTTAGTGAAATCCCAGGAGGAGATATTAAAATTATATTAGAAAGTGAAAGAAATAGAAGTTTTATTTATTTATTTATTTATTTATTTTGAGAAGGAGTCTCGCTCTGTAGCCCAGGCTCGAGTGCAGTGGCACGATCTGAGCTCACTGCAAGCTCCACCTCCTGGGTTCACGCCATTCTCCTGCCTCAGCTTCCCAAGTAGCTGGGACTACAGGCACCCACCACCACGCCTGGCTAATTTTTTGTATTTTTAGTAGAGATGTGGTTTCACCTTTTTAGTCAGGATGGTCTCAATCTCCTGACCTCATGATCCACCAGCCTCAGGCTCCTAAAGTGCTGGAATTATACGCATAAGCCACTGCACCCGGCCCAAAAGCTTTGTGTTTTTACAAATATTACACGTTTCTTGTTTAAGAAAAAAAGTCTTCACAATAACGTAGGAGAATAAGAGAAACATTTTTCCAAAAAAGAGAAGTCATTGTGATTATTTTATCTTATTGGAATGTTGGATAATATAGTCTGCTTCAGTAATCATCAAGCATGCTATGGATTTTCCATTTTCATAGGATCTGTATCTCGGTTAAGGTAATACTGGTAATTTTTGTACTCTATGAAAAATATAGGCCAAAATCATAGACCTTGCATAGAAGCTGGATCATGAAGACAGCTCTGGAGGAACACACAGGTACACACACACAGACACACATATATATAAAGTATACACATATATATTTTTTAAAAGCTTTTAAAGCAAAAGCCGGCCCTGCCCCTCTCCCAGAGTTGGCGGCCTCTCCCCTCTCTTAGGGTGGGTGGGGACAGTGGTTGCATGGGCAGCTTTCCTTGTGAGCCAAAGGTCCCTCTGGACACATGATGCCTGGCCACGCCCCCTTTCCCTTTCATCTTTCTCATTAACCAATGGGCTTGGAGCATTAAGGCCACGCCCCTATTCTGCCTTCTACTGCATCCCTGGTTACGCCTCCTCTGGCTCAGTCGCACAGCTACCTGGTAGGTGACTGGAGGTGTTGATCAGTGCTTGGTGGGATTTTGCTGATGTGGCCCCAAGCCCGCCTCCCTCCCCACCCTGCGATGGCAGAAGAAACTCGACAAAGTAAATTGGCAGCAGCCAAGAGAAAGGTAAAAACACACCAGGTCACGGACCCCCAACCCAGCCATAGATCCTCTCCAACGACAAGACTGCTGCCAGAGTCCATACCAATCCCGAGGTTCACCGGACTGGGACCCCCACACCGGTGCCTCTGGGCTACCCCCACCAAAGTTTTGCCAGTCAGCCCCACCCCTTCAGCAAGCAGCCCAGTCTCTGCCCTCACCAATCACCCCAGGGTGACTTTGGGCAGGTGAATCCTGGGGCTCCCCGCTCCTTTACTGGGCCCTCATCTCCTGCCACCCCAAGCTTGACCTCCCAGGGCTTTTTGGGCTCACATCTCCAAGGACCTGGGTCCCACAGCCCCAGACCCCACCCTCACCAGTCATCCCTGGGTGACTTTAGGCTGGTGAATCCTGGGGCTCCCTGCTGCTGACTCTTCCCTTCCCTCCTGCTGCCTCAAGGTGGACCTCCCTAGGCTGTGTGCACTGGCGTCTCCAAGGACCTGGGTCCCAGCTCTGTTTTTCCCTCCCCTATCATGGAGCGGTGACTCGGACATCATGCTGATGTGGTCCCTCCCCCTCACCAGGAAGAGTGGAATGTAGTGATGTCACGGTCCATCCAGTAACTGTCATTACTGCAAGACTGGCCTTTGATCTTATGACCCAGTCCCCTAAGCATTGCCACCCCATTTCTGGTTCCTCTTGTCACAGCACAAATTTCCAGCTGGAAGGGGAATGGAGATTGGGACCTAGGAGCAAGAGGTTTCAGGCTGCCTCACTCCCTTAACATAAACATTGACAGCGGGAAAAGCCTACACTTCCCCTGTGAGCTCAAAACATTGACAGTACCTCTGGATGGCAACTGGAGAATGGGTTTGACTTGGTTTGGTTTTCTCCCAGGCTTCTACTTTCCAGAGAGATTTTAACAAATTTTTTGTGAGTTCTCCACCTCACATTCTAATTCTCCATGGTTCTGGGACCAGACTGCCCTTCAGTCAGTGGTCTGTGAAGTGAGATTTGCTCATCTTCTGTGGAATAGATCTTGGGAAACTGAACTTGACAGCTTGAATCTTCCTCATATTATGTAAACCTGGGGTACTTTGAGTGCCACAGGATACATATGGGACATCTTTCTGAAGCATCAGTTTCCATTGATTCTCTTGAGATCAAGAGAAAAAACATTAATGTACTTAGGGATGACAGTCACATAGGTTTCTAAGAGTATACCAGACCTCTCTCTGAAATGAGGCTTGGGTTGTCCTCTTTCTGATAAATTCCCAGATTTAACAGAAAGGCTGCCTTCTGCCATGAGGATACATTGATATAAGAGTTTGAGAGGTACTGGTGCACTTCTTCACACTAACAGACGTGTGAGGATGTATGACTCTAAACCACATGGCATACAGTTCCTGCCAACTTAATGTTTACTTTTCTAGCTCTGCCTCTGGTTTTGGTCCCTGGCAGCTGATGATTCTTGGTAATACCCCAGAGTTTGGAGTCAGAAGACTGAGTTTCAAAGTTCGTCTGTCGCCTTTTTCTTTTCTTCTTTTTTTTTCTAGCCATGATATCAATCTCTTTGAGTCACTAAATGATTGTGACAACACCTTGTACAGTTGTTGGTATCATTAAATCAGATGGCGTATAAGAGTATTTTATAAAAACTGTAAAGGAGGATGTGGCTGCAGGGGCTGATAGTTCTCATGAGTATTACTGCTCTTGTTTCTGACAGTTAAAAGAATATTGGCAGAGAAACAGCCCTGGTGTTCCAGCAGGAGCCAAGAGGAACAGGAAAACAAATGGCAGCATCCATGAGACAGCCACTTCTGGTGGTTGCCACTCACCTGGAGATGTGAGTCTTGGCTGACTAGGTTCCTGGGGACAGGGGACCCAAGGGGCACTAGAGGGTAATTGTTAAGATTGTGGATGGACTGTTGGGTACCTGTGAAGAATTCTGGGTTTGAATCCTGCCTCTTTGTCTGCTAGGGATATGAATTAGGGCAAGTTGCTTGACCTCATCGGGCCTCTCTTTTCACATCTGTATAATAGAGGTGGTATTGTTTCACTTCCATTTGTGAAGTTTAAATGAGATCTGTTATTGTTGTTTTTATGTTAATCCCTAGTACATGGCCTGCTGTAAACACCCAGAACACCCAGGATATGGTCATTGCTGTTCGATTTTCCTCATCCCCAGTCTCAAGGGGAAGCCAGGACAATGAGAACAGTCACTTGGCACAGGAGTCACTGAAAGGGCCGCAGGGTGCTGTGGTGGGGAGATAAGAACCATGAGAGAAGTTGGCACAAAGGAGTTATGGGACAAAGGGTCCAAGATAGGCAGAAAAGAAAATTGTGCCAGTTGATGGGGAAGAAAAGAAGTCAGAGGGCTTAGATACTGAGTGGGACAGAACATCTTCATGTGCACTCTCATCTCTTGTAGTCAGCAACAGGTATCCACGGGGAGAGCCCTACATCATCTGCTACCCTGAAGGATCTGGAGGTAAGAGGCTCTGGGCAGAGGTGCAGTGACCCTGCAGGGCAGCCCTCCAACCTCCTCCTCCAGGTGGGACGGGGTGCCCCTCTGCCAGCTGAGACAGTCCACACACACCCCAGCCCTAATGATTGCTCTCTCTACCTCTCCCCCCACTCCTCCTCCACCTCCTCCTCTCTGCATGCGCCTCAGAGCCCGTGCCAAGAACTAGCAGTAGTCCCAGACTCGAGGTCTGTAAAAGTCAGTCAACTGAAGAACACCATCAAATCTTTGGTAAGAGTCCACTGGGGTCCCCTGATTCCACGCTGCCAATCCTGGGCTCTAGTTTCTCCTTGGGGCCCTGAAGAAAGGGGACAGGGGCCCCTGGTGCCAAGGGCGAATAGGGAGCTGGGGCACCCAGGCCTCACCTGGAGGGACCCCGGAGCATGCAGCATGGCTCTTTTTTTGCTGCCCTGTTTGCTGACTCTCCCCTCTCCAGACGCCCCTGCTCGAGTCCTTGCTACACACGCCCTGGGATTGTTGCCTCTTGGGGAAGTGCTAGCCTGACTGGTTGTCAGGGGCCCTGTATTTCTGCCATGACTCAGTCCCTAATTTGCTCTTTGATTCTGGACAAGCCACCTCTCCTTTTTGGGCTCGTGTTTCCAGAGGAAGTAGTGAGTATCATAGGTCTCTGTTAGCTCTGAGAGTCTGAGATTTAAAGGCCTCCTAGAATGGAAACCTCAGGGCCAAAGGCTCCTGTCTGTCCTTTTCCGCCCTAAATCTGCTGTGAAGAACCGTACTTGGCCCGTACGTGCTCAGTAAATGTTTATTGAATGAATGCACTTTTCTAAATCACAAGCTGGCAGAAGGGGGGGCCTTTCTCAAACTCCATCTCTAGAGGTTTATGTTACTGTCCTGTCAAGAGATTCCAGATTCAGACCTTGAGTTCTGTGGCTGTGGGCAAAAGCCAACAAAGACCCAAATCCTCTGTCCTTGGGAGCTTGAGGAGAGTTTACCAGTTCGAGTTCCCACTGGGTCTGAGAACTTTGCCTTTAAAATCCATTCCTGGTCCCTGCCTACCACTTCCTGCTCTGGGGAATAGAGTTGAGGGGGCCACCCTCCATCACCTTAATGTGACTCTCCCCACAGAAACAACAGAAGAAACAAGTGGTACATCAGCTGGAAGAAGTAACATGATTTCTTTGTTTGCTCGCGACATGACTGCTCGGTTTGGGGGACACTCAGATGTAGAGGCCCCGAGTCTCGTCTCACCCACTCCCAGCCTGGGGAAGAAGGCTAACCCCCCAGAGTCCACCCCATCCCCCACAGGGTCTCTGATAACCCGGTCCCATGGGTGGGCCTGTCCCGGGGCAGGGGCAGTGGTGGCATTCTGGGGACATGTCTCTTGCAGTACCATCTCTGCCTCTGCCTGGTTAGATCTCTGTCTTCCTCTTCCTACAGGAAAAGAAAGCAAACAACGAGAAACAGAAAGCCGAAAGGGAGCTAGAGGTGAGTGGACGGTGTGCAGTTTTCTCCTGTCCTCCGGAGAATGTTTCTTTCCTTCTCTTTCAGCACTTGCTTGGCTTTTCTCCCAAAGGTTCAAATCCAGAGATTGAACATACAGAAAGGGAAACTAAATACGGACCTGTACCACACGAAACGTTCTCTCAGATACTTTGAAGGTGGGAATCTGGGTACCCTGTCATCCTTCAACCTGGGACTTTGACAGGTCTTCAGGGGGAGTCCTTTGGGCCCCATCTCAACTCTCTCATTACAGAAGAGTCCAAGGATCTGGCCGTCCGTCTGCAACATTCATTGCAGCGTAAAGGAGAGTTAGAGCGGGCTCTCTCTGCTGTCACCGCCACACAGAAGAAGAAGGCGGAGAGGGTGAGTCCAACCACCTGCCCCGTCCCCTGGGAGCCTGGCTTCGCAGACAGAGGAGTGAGCCTAAAGGTCCCTTCTGCAGGATGGAGTGTCCTGCCCAGAAGGCAGCATGGCCATTTCTCACTGCTTTTTTGTATGGTTGTTAGCGGCAGCTTGGGACTGAGTCAGCTGCTGTGGGTGAGTTGGGGGGCACTCTGGGGAGAGAACACAGGACGTAGAGCTTGGAGGCCAAGTGCCTGCCATGCCTTTACCTGGCTGTGGTCTTGGCCAAGTCCTAAGTGGGGTATTGGCTACTTGTACTGTGAAGGTACAGAAGAGTACCTTTAGTATGTTACCATTTCTGTAGAGAGAGGAAACGTGTGTGTGTGTGTACATATTATGATAATATACATAAAATATGTTTGCAAGTGTTCATAAAAACTCAGGAGAGAGCAACAGGGTGGCTGGGAGATACTTCCCTTCTGTACCTTCTGAGTTTGGGACTATGTGAATGTATTATCCTTTCAAAAAGTGAACAAAAGATTAATTTTCCCCTTCCTAGCTGTGCCCCCACCCCCAGCAAGAAAAATGGGCTTAGAGAATTGGATAGATCTGGGTGTTTAAATCCCAGCTCTGCCTAAGTGATCTTAGGCAAGCACTTAACCTCAAATACTCCATGTTTTTTCATCTACACAATAGAGGTCATCATAGTAACTGTCTCCCATGGTGGTTGCGAGGATTAAATGGGATTGCTAGCATGGTATCTGGTGAAGCACTCCATAAAAGTTCAAACAGTGGTAATAATAACAGTAATAACAATAGCAATATTATCTGATCTCTCTGGGCCTCTGTTAGCCAGCTATAAATTCGATCTCTTTCCCTGTCCCTTCCAACTTTACTGAGTTCTTTAAAAACCAAACCACGGGCTTGGAAATGCCTTGATCTTTACTGACCGAGTTGTATATTGGGCCTAGCCCTGGCCCTTTTAAGGGGCACTGTGTGGAATGGCCCGGCCTCCCCAGATTGAAACTTCTCACTCTTCAGCAGTTCTCCAGCCGCAGTAAAGCACGTATGGAGTGGAAGTTAGAGCAGTCCATGCGGGAGCAGGCACTGCTGAAAGCGCAGCTGACACAGGTGAGGTGTTCAGAGGGAGGGATGTGGAAGGAAGATGACCCCAGGTAACCAGGAGCAGGTGAGGACCAGTGACAGCCCTTCCTAATTTCTGTGCCCATTCTTGCAGTTGAAGGAGTCACTTAAAGAAGTCCAGCTAGAGAGGGATGAATATGCTGAACATCTAAAAGGAGAGAGGGCCCGGTGGCAGCAGAGGATGAGAAAAATGTCGCAGGAGGTGAGATCTGACCCTTCAGCCCCCCCACATTAGATAGGTCACTGGATCTTTCTGGGCACCTGTAAAATGGGAATAGTAGAGCCAGAGGTGGTCCTGGGACTGGGCTTTGTGGAGGTGGGGGCAGAGAGGGAGATGGTAGCATGTCCAGCCTCCAGCCCCTCTCTCCAGGGCCCTTTCCCCCTGTGCTTTGGGCAGGTTTGCTCGTTGAAGAAGGAGAAGAAGCATGATAAATATCGGGTAGAGACGCTGGAGAGGAGCTTGTCCAAACTCAAACACCAGATGGGTAAGATGGGGCTGGCGTGACCTGACAGCAGGACTGGCATCAGAGGGCTGTGAGGGTGGCTTGGAGTGCCCCAGCGAGGTGGGTGGATGGGAAGGGCTTTGAGGCAGAGGGAAAGAGGTCTGTTCCAGGAGACGGCAAGTCTTGTCATCTCAATGAGCCTCAGTGTCCCCATCAGCAAAGAGGGCCCGTTGTCAGCCACCCGCAGTGCTCTTTCTCTGAAAGTGGTTTGGAAGACTGGCTACCATCTGGGTGCGAGGAATCATTAGCAGTGAGGCCAAGTTTGAGGAGCCTGAGAGGAGCTGTGCGCCAAGAGGAGGGTTTTTCTTTTCCGAGAATCCAGAGGCCCTTATTATCTGCTTCCTTTCTCAGCTGAACCCTTGCCCCCGGAGCCCCCAGCAGTGCCCTCTGAGGTGGAGCTGCAGCACCTGAGGAAGGAACTAGAGAGAGTGGCAGGAGCGCTCCAGGCCCAGGTGGAGTACAATCAGCGCATAAGTCTCCTGAATGAGGGGCAAAAGGAGAGACTTCGGGAGCAGGAGGAGAGGCTTCAGGAGCAGCAGGAGAGGCTTCGGGAGCAGGAGGAGAGGCTTCAGCAGCTGGCCGAGCCACAGAACAGCTTCAAGGAGCTGGTGCGTTGCCCCAGCTGGGGAGCCTGCCCTCCTCCCTAGCCCTCCAGGCCTTTGTTTCCCCACCTATAAAATGTGGCAGTGTAGCCCTCAAGTGAAATGTTACTCCTAAAGGCACCTGTGAGCCAGAGCCCTGCTCTGGTGGCTGTGGGAGACAGGGGATGATTTTTCTAACCTGCCTCCACCCTTCCCGGTGCCATGGGAGGCAGTCACCAAGTTCTGGGGTCTCCAGCTGCAGTGGGTGGCTGCTGATTGCTTCTCTCTGTCCAGAACAATGAGAACAAGAGCGTACTACAGTTGGAGCAGCAAGTAAAGGAGCTGCAGGAGAAGCTAGGCAAGGTGAAGGAGACGGTAACCTCCACCCCATCCAAGAAGGTCTGGGAGGTGGGCACCAGCCTCTGGGGAGGGGAGGTGCCAGGCCAGAGGCAGCTCCAGCCCGGGGGCAGGTGACCCCAGCACCCTCCAGGGCAGTCCTGTGGCTGTTTCTTGCTTCCTGCCCTCTGATTTTAGAGGTGGGTAGCCCTGGGCTCCTCCCAGGTCTGGACATCATCATTCCAGCTAGAGACATGGAGCACCGCCAATCACAGGGGAAGAGACAGAGTGGTATAACAGTCTTCTTATGCCAGACGCGGTGGCTTACGCCTATAGTGCCAACACTTTGGGAGGCTGAGGCAGGAGAATCACTTGAGGTTTGGAGTTTGAGATCAGCCTGGCCAACATGGTAAAACCTCATCTCTACTAAAATTACAAAAACAAAAAACAAAAAAAGGAAGAAAAATTAGTGGGGCATGGTGGTGGCGCATGCCTGTAATCCCACCTACTCAGGAGGCTGAGGCACGAGAATTGCTTGAGCCCAGGAGGTGGAGGTTGCAGTGAGCTGAGATTGCACCACTGCACTCCGGCCTGGGCCACAGAGTGACACTCTGTCTCAAAACAAAACAAAAAGACTCCTTAGATTAAAACTGGATTCCAGCCTCAGTTCCACTGGTCACCATTCAAGTACTTCACATCTCTAAGTCTCTGTTTCTTTAACTTCAAAAGGAAGTTAGCATTTTCCTTACAGAGGTGCTGAGGATTAAATGAGATAATACATGGGAAGCATTAGGCCTGTAGCACATTTAGCAGATGGTGGTTGGCTCCCACTACTTTTCTACCATTCTGTGGCCTACAGTTGAAATGGTGGGAAGAGGACATGAGATTTGAGGCTGGGGAAGGAGGCATGGGGTTCTAGGAAAGGGAGGCAGTCACTTAGGCCTGGAGTAAGGGGCCAGGGGCCTGGGCAGGCGACAGAGCCCCACAGTGCCCTCGCTACCCTATTAATGGGCCCAGAATCTGGAAACCAGCCACCACGTGCCCTCACACCCAGGGTCTTCCTGCAGGTGGAGCTGAAGAGCCAAGAGGCTCAGAGTCTGCAGCAGCAGCCAGACCATTACCTGGGTCACCTGCAGCAGTACGTGGCCACCTATCAGCAGCAGGTGGCCGCCTATCAGCAGCTGACCTGTGAGAAGGAGGCGCTGTACAGGCAGTGACTGCAGCAGACCCAGCTAATGAACCAGCTGCAGCAGCAGGAAGCTTGGGGCAAAGCGGTGGCCGAGATGGCCTGCCAAAAGTTGCAGGAGGCCCAGGGGAGGGAGCTGCCGAGGATGGGGCCGTGAGGGGGACGACCTGACAAACTCTGTGCCTTCTCACTCTTTCCTGGCCCCTTAGGAGCGCCTGGAAGCTGCCAGCCAGCAGAAACAGCAGCTAACGGCCCAGCTGAGCCTCATGGCTCTCCCTGGGGAAGGTACGGGAGACCGCTTAGAGGAAGAGGAGAGAGCCCCAGGAGGAAGGGGGGACTGCTAGCAGCATAGGATTGAGGAGTTGGAAGAGACCTTTAGAACAGCTGGTCATTATACTAACCGGGTGCCTGCACTAAGTTCAGCATCAATATGGTGACCTCCTGGGAGCGGGGGGCCACCAAGTTGCCTAAGGATGGCTGAACTGGCCGAGGTCAGAAAGGGAGCAGGTCAGAACTCCCACACCGACCAGTAGTGGGAATGTGCCTGGGCAGTATAGCAAGATCTTGGTTCTTCAAAGTAAAAATAAATAACAGCAGCTCATTCCTCTCTGGGGAGGGCCTGGCTCAGGGTTACACAATGAGGGTGGAGGCAGAGGTGGGCCCACAATACTTCCCTTGTTGAGTTGTCTGAAGACCCCTCTGGCCACCCCCAACAGGACACGGAGGAGAACATCTGGACAGTGAGGGGGAGGAGGCACCTCGGCCCATGCCGAGTGTCCCAGAGGACCTGGAGAGCAGGGAGGCCATGGTGAGCCTGACTCCCCCTGCACCCATTTTGCCACCTTTCTCTGTGGTCCCTCCAAGACCCCTTTATGCTCTTCGTTTCCCTGCCTTCTGATTTCTCTGGACCCTCACCCCTTCCGAGAGCCAGTGGTCAGACACCATTTCACCTGTGGCCAACAGGTGCACTCTCTGAGGCCCCAAGGGAAGGGGCTGCGCTCCACCTCTCTGCCCCATTTCTTCTGTGTATGCCCCTAGAAGAATGCTCACATCTTGCCCTCAGGTGGCATTTTTCAAGTCCGCTGGAGCTAGTGCCCAGGAGAAGCAGGCACAGTTACAAGAGCAGGTGAAAGAGCAGAGGGTGTGCTGCCAGCGCCTGGCTCACCCGGTGGCCTCGGCCCAGAAGGAGCCAGAGGCAGCGGTCCCAGCCCCAGGGCCTGGGGGCGAGTCTGTGAGTGGGGAGACCCACCGGGCCCTGCAGGAAGTCATGGAGAAGCTGGCCCATGCCGGAACTCACCTCCGCCTTCTCCATGACTTGAAAATGCCACCTGAGGGCAGGTCGCTGCCGAGATGTGACCCCATTATTTTGGCTCCAGAGCGGCTTTATGGACCACCTGGAGGAGAAGGCAGACCTGAGTGAGCTGGTGGAGAAAGAAGAACTTGGATTCTTCCAGTACTACAGAGAGAGATGCCATCAGTGAGTGGGAGGCCAGGGCGTGGCAGGGGGAGCTGCAGGGCTGTTGGAGGGGCCCCAGCGTCTGAGCCCTGTCCTCCCGCAGGAAAGTTTATCACCCTATAACAAAGCCAGGGGGCAGTGCCAAAGATGCAGCACCGGGAGGAGGACACCATCAGGCTGGCCCTGGACAGGGAGGAGATGAAGGTAGAGTGTGCAACATCTCTGCGGGGGTGGGGGTGGCTGTGACGGTGAGCGCTGGCAGCAGCGTGACAGCTGAGCACCCCTCCCTCCAGGTGAAGCTGCTGGAGCTGCAGGAGATGGTGTTGCAGCTGGTGGCGACTACAAGGGACACAGCAAATTCTTGGTGACTGCCCAGAACCCTGCTCATGAGCCCAGTCCAGGAGCCCCAGCCCCCCAGGAGCTTGGGGCTGCCCACAAGCATGGTGGTGAGTAGAGCCCTCAGGCGGGGTGGGCAGGCAGGAGCAGGGGGGCTCTCACTGAGCTCAGATCCCCGCCTCCCTCTCTCCAAAGATCTTTGTGAGGTGAGCCTCACTGACAGCGTGGAGCCTGTGCAAGGAGAGGCCAGGGAGGGTTCTCCCCACGACAACCCTACTGCACAGCCGATCGTGCAGGACCACCAGGAGCACCCAGGCTTGGGCAGCAACTGCTGTGTGCCATTCTTTTGCTGGGCTTGGCTGCCAAGAAGAAGGAGATAAACATGACCATCGTCAAAGACCTGCTCAAGAAATTTTTAAAAAAGAAACAAAGTTATGGGGTTAATCTCCTACACAATTCATTTACTTCGTTTGAATGTTATAGCCACTTATGATTATTTGTGTTTCTAATTTATAGTTTAAGTTTATTTGTAAATAGTTAAAAGAGAGTGGGTCTCTGTGGCTTTCACTGATGTTCACTCTGGCATACTTTCGCAATTTTCTTTTTCAATTTCATGATTGTAGGTCATTAGCATGCATATTGAGTTTGCCCTTACGTGGTGGGAGTTCAAACACACAAAGACCCACTATTTGCACAAAACTATTCTTGCTGGTTTGGAATAGGCTGCCATGTGTTTTTAATGTTATTGAAGCATGTATATTCATTACAGAATTCAGATAAAATTTGCCTATGTTCTGCTATTGTTTGATCTAATCTTAATCACAGTGAGCTCTTCATTAGCACAATATGTGGTTTGCCCCAAGTGTGCACTATTTAATACTTTGTAATATGCCACCAAGAGTACTGACATTTAGAGTTGTTTAAAGGCCGAGAACTGGAAACAGCCTTTCCCTCATTTTCTGTGTATTGGTGATGGGAGTAATAACATTTTGGGGGAGCTTTTTAAATTTCACAGAAGAGGAAAGTTGCCTGCTCTGGCAGGTATGTGCAAGATAGAGTGTGTTTCATTTGTTCTGTTGCCAAGAATTAGTGCTGTACTATTGTAGTTCCTTTAGGATTTGTATGTGCTCTGGGCTCATGAAGATATTGCATCATGAGCTGCAGCAGTTGTACTCTTTTTTGATGACCTAAAAAGGGCTTATTTCTGAGGAATGAAAGGTTCCCATCATTGACTATGGATGTGGAAAACCTTTCCTAGCTTAGAGCATTTGTATCTATATTTTAAAGTCAGAGTTCATGTTACCTGTTTTAATCACATGACTGCATGTCCCAGTACACAAAAGGGCACTGGTTGGCATTCTTCTTAATGTATTTAGTAAAGATCAGAAGAAATCCTTTAAGAGTTTAAATGTCCCTGGAACACGCATACAGGCTCTAGTCAAGAATGAATTAGAGTGAAGGAAAGCTGTGTGACACCTGGCATTCCTCTGTTCATGGAGCTTCTTTGAGGCTTGAAGATTGATTTTACCATCTAGACCACTCTGCCTATTCTTCAACCACCTTGGTTACTTTGACATAGGAATTGACTTCTTTTCCTTGAATGGAAAACACTTTGAAATAATAATAAACATTGTTATAAACTAATATATGTGAGAGTGCTTAGTTGAAACAAAAAGGAGTTTTAGTAGACAGTATTATACTATCTTTGAAAATCAAGGAGAAGTTTATGCAACTTAAAATGTGTACAAACTGCAGTGCAATCTACTGTTGGTGAATGTCAGTGTATTATCAGGAAACATGTCTATACAATCACAGAGTTATATTTCCTCACAAACTTCTTTGTGAAGAGTGAAATGTGTTTCTGTACCTCTGGGTTTCACTTACGGGCATATTTTGTGCAGTATTTATGTGATTGTGCCTATGCATGATGAATGAATGAATTTCAGTTGTACATTGCCTAAATCATAACTTGATGATGCTTGGGAAAGACTCAACAGTTAAAACTTCATGAAGTTCTAATGTCTGTGTTCCAAAACACATCACATTATTAGGATGTAGGGAGATATGTATGTGTGCTCCCTGGGGTGGGGATTTCTAGTTACTAGACCATCTCCATTTTTAGCATTTGGCATCCTCATGATACTTTTATAAATACGACATTAACAGGAGAGCAGCAGTACGATTTTGCCGATGGAATAACAGATTTGCCGGCAATCACTGAAAGAGTGCAAATATCGGGTCCTTGTGACTTCAACGGACTCTTCCAAATTGTATGAATGTATCAATGTATTAGATAAACCCAGTTTCAGAATGATAAAGAAAAAATGTTAGACCAAATAATGCGGCTAGTTAACAGTGGTACGATTTCTAGCCCGTGGCTTTAAAATGCACTTAAAGTCCTGTCCTTGCCTTTTATTTTCTGAACTTGATGTTTTTGCATTCTTTGAGTTCAGTTTAAAGACAACTACGAGCATCTGTAACCAATCTGACAATAATGTGTTCATCAGGTGCCTATGGATTAAATCACATACTGGCATATTTAAGCTGAATGTCAATCTGGAAAATAAATTGACTGTATTAACAGAAATACCACTCTTTGTGTAGATATTTGTCATATATTTAAGAAAAAGCTAAAAAGAATGGAAATCGCATGACTATAACTTAAGTCTTTCTTCAAAGTGCATGCAGTCTTTTGCGATACCTCATTCAGCCAAGTATTGGTATTCTTCCTCATTCGGTATAAGGCAGCTTTCAATTTGCTTAGAAGGCAACATTGGAAGGTTAGAGTTCATCAGAAACAGAATTCTAAAATGTGAGTTCAATTCAATAAATTTGAATTTCTGTAGGAAGAATCAAATCACCGATTTAAAGAGTGCAATATATAATAATCATTTTTAAAGTATTGGATTAAATCTGATAGGTTTTCCAGAAATGAACAAAAATCAGCTCTAAAACCAAAGCTGATTTTTAGAAAATTTGAAAATGTAAATCAGCCCTATCCATACTATAGTTTCTCTAAAACTTTATCTGAAAGAGTCATTTTAAAATAACTATTAAACAATGTAACTGCTATCTTAATGTTCTGAAATAAGTTAAAACATTTTAAAATATGAATACTGTAAAGGAAATAAATGGTGGGAAGGAAAAGTAGAGAAAGAAATGCCAATTCCAGTCCAAAGCTTTATTTGCCAAGTTTTCTTAGAATGAATTTTACCAATTTATGAATTCTTGTAAGCGGAATGTAAAACGGAAATACTGAAAGACTTTTGCCTAAAGTGGCATTATTGACTGCTGGTGTGATGCTACTGTAATGTAATAAATTATTAAGTTGTTGCAAAGTGCTGTTTTTGCCTTAAAATTTTATTCTGTGTGTCTTGAAAAATATAGTATTAAAGGTATTGATACTGTGCAAATGCTGAGCATGCTTGGCATGAGATAATGTTTCATTTTTACAAAATTGTAATATAACTATGCAAGAGTTTATTAAAAGAACACAAAATAAAAAAGTTATGGGATTAACAAAAGTTATGGGGTGAAAAAGTTATGGGATAAAAAATGTAAAAAAGTTGTGGCAAAAAAATCTTGTGACCAAAAAGTAGAAAAAAGTTTTATGAAAAGTTACCAAAAATAGTTATGAAAAAGAAGTTATGGGATTTAAAAAAAAAGGCATGGGATAAAAATAAAAATTAAAATTAAAAGCAGGCCCCTGTCAGCAAAGCCTGGAGAAGTGGGGCTGGGGTCTCTCCACCACCACACTGTCCCTATCTCCCCTTCCCAGTCACCCCTTTACAATTAGGGTAGCAAGACAAGACCACTGTCTAACGAGGAAAGACAAACAGACCCTTTGCCACCTTGACCAGAGCTGAGTCCTTAAATTTCTGGATGATATTGTTATTTAAGAGCCAGAGGCTGGTGGAGTTGGTTTGTTTGGAGGAGGCCTCATGGCCTCCTTACTCTCACCATAGCAACTTTTCCCTCAGTGGGGGCTCGAATCTTCTTATTCAGAGAGGTAGCTGAGGCAGGACAGTGGGGCTAACTGTGGACCAGGCGAAGGCATGGGCTGCTGGGGTGGCCCCCCTTCCCCGGTGTATATATTGTGTCTGTGTAAGGTTTTGTATATTCCAGAGGGTAGGGCCACCCCTGTATCATACCTAGCGGTGGTTGGAGGTGGCACATGGGGAGGAGGTTCTAATAATTATTTGTGGCTGGGAAACTTACTTATTGCTAGCATAGGACAGAGGAAGAAGGCAGGGATGGGGTCATGGCTTCCCAGTGGTGTGATCACAGTTCACTGCAACCTCCAACTCTCATGCTCAAGTGATCCTCCCACCTCAGCCGCCCAGGTAGCTGGGAGTATAAGCATGCACTACTATGCCTGGCTAATTTTTAAATTTTTTGTAGAGAAAAGGTCTTGCTATGTTGCCCATGCTGGTCTTGAACTCCTGGGCTCAAGCGATTCTCCCATCTTGGCCTCCCAAAGCACTGGGGTTACAGGCATGAGACATTGCTCCTGTCCATAAGATTTTCTCTTTATTACTGTTTTGTTGTTGGTGGTGGTGTTTTGTTTTGTTTTTATTTTTTGACAGAGTCTCGGTCTGTTGCCTAAGCTGGAGTGCAGTGGTGCAATCTCTGCTCACTGCAACCTCTGCCTCCTGGTTCAAGCAATTCTTATGCCTCAGCCTCCCGAGTACCTGGGGTTATAGGCATAAGCCACTGCGCCTGGCTAATTTTTGGATTTTTAGTAGAGACAGAGTTTTGCCATGTTGGCCAGATTGGTCTTCAACTCCTGGCCTTAAGCAATCCGCCCTCCTCAGCCTCCCAAAGTGCTGGGATTACAGGTGTGAGCCACTGCTCCTGGCTAAGATCCCATCTCTATTTAAATAAAAAAAGAAAATTCAGAATCTATGGAACACAGAACACCAAAGGCCAGTTATTTACCTCTCTGAGGTAATCTGTGTAAACAATTTGATATATATCCTTTCAAGTTCATACTTGCTATGCATACATATATATACACACATACATTGACATATTCCCCCTTCCCTGCTGTCATGCTATTAGTCTTCTTTTTTTTGTAGAAATTGGACCAACTCTATGTTCTTTGCTGGCCCGTATTTCTCCTATTCAGTGATGTGTTATGAATATCTGTTTAAGTCAATGTATGCAACTCTTTAATATCATTTTAAAAGGTTACGACATACGATCATATGAAGGCATTAGAATTTATTCCAACAGTTCCCTTTTGCACATTTAATAATTTCCATTGATTTGCCAGGAAGAACATTCTCGTGTCATGGCTAAATCCTTTTGTATGGACATCCTTAATTATTCCCTTAAGATAAACTTTTAAATAAAGTTGCTAGATTAGTCTCGTTTCTTAAGTTCCTTTTTGGTAGTTTATATGTAACACTGTAGTTTTATATGTACTTACAAATACCTATAGTGCCAGTAGAAAATGGGATAAAATTAAACTCTTTCACATATGCCAAATATATTTTGATTTAGCGCTTTATTAAGTGCATGATTACAGTCTCTGTATCTTTTGATTTACCTTTCTATCTTTACAATTTTCAGCCGAGACACTTAGCGGTCACATAATAAATTAAGGTTTTCTTTTTTTAATAATCTCCATCTTTCTAAATATGGTGAGTCACAGTCAGCTATTTTTGGATTGTTGAAAGCTGTGACTGTTCTAAATCGGAGCCCAGAAATCATGCCACTTACCAAATATGCTTTGTCTTCCAACATCAGAGTGTCTGGTAGAAGGTGACTGTTCTTGGAATTTAAAAAATCTGAACAGGACAAGACAAGAATCTGGACACTTTTTCTGTTTCTGATAATATGATTGAGTAGGTAGACATGCTGGATAATCCTTGCAAAGACATACTTGAACTTCCCCAAAAAAAAAATAAAATCCAGAATCTCTAAGAATGAAGATGGAGTGAAAATCAGAAGGGCTGCTGAGAGAATAATGGGGAAGCAGCCCCAGTTATCAAGGGACATGTCCATGTGTTCAATAGAAAGTTTCAGATGTAAAAAAAAGTTGAGAAAAATAATATATATATTATATATAATAAATGATATAATTGCCCTACATATACACATCATCAACAATTTTTCATTCATGGTATGGACAGTTTTTTTTTTTTTGGTTGTTTTTTGTTTGTTTGTTTGTTTTTAAAGGTGGGATTTTGCTGTGGTTGCCCAGGCTGGAGTGCAGTGGCATGATCTTGGCTCACTGCAACTTCCACCTCCCAGGTTCAAGCGATTCTCCTGCCTCAGCTTCCCGAGTAGCTGGGATTACAGGCACCCGGCACCACATCCGGCTAATTGTTGTATTTTTAGTAGAGATGGTGTTTCACCACGTTGGCCAGGCTGGTCTTGAACTCCTGACCTCAGGTGATCCACCTGCCTCGGTCTCCCAAAGTGCTGAGACTACAGGCGTGAGCCACCACACCTGGCCACAGCCAGTTTTGTTTCATTTACATTCCCACTTCATTTATATACATTCCTTCTTCCTCTGAATTATTTTGAAGTAAAACCTATACATCCTATCATTTTTAATTACCTTATATGTATCTGTAGAAGACAAGGAATTCTTAAAAATAAATATATTCACAATGCCATTAAATATCAAAAAATTAATATTCTGAAAATAGCCACAAATCCAGAGTTGACATTTTGTTGACTTTCTCATAGGTGATTTTTTTTCTAGTTTATCTATTTCAATCAGATAACTGTTTGCTCATATTTACATTCCTTACTGAACAATGTCTAAACTTAAACTGACATAAAATGGAGATGATCTTCTAACCAGATGCTTAGTGTAAGAAAAAACTTCAAACTGCAAGAGGAGTCCCTCCAAATACAGAAAGGATCAGTATTTTAAGAGGTATGTTAACTAAAATGTGGCAATGTAAGGAGCAAAGCAGGAAGAACCTTTAAGTCCTCAACTTACAAGTCAATTTCATAGTCAGTTTCCCTGGTCCTTCCACAACAACCTCCCCCATCTGTTTTCTCTACAATGGAGGTAACAATAGTAGCTATTCCAGAGCAGGAAAAGGCTTAGAGCAGTGCTAGAAGAGGGTCGTGGCTATATAAAGTTTAGCTATTTGTATATTGTAACAAACCTACAACTTTTTTTTTTTTGTCAATAATACATTTCTTTTGGAAAAGTGGCACCCTCCTGTGGGGGACACCTGCAGTTCCACTAAGCGAACATCGGTGTCTGCTAACCTTTGCCTCTTTGTCTCTCAATAATATACTGTCAAGCTGTTCCTTGATTTAGCACTTTTGTATACTTTTTTTTTTCCTCTCCCGTTTCCTGAGACACAGTCCCTCTCTGTTGCTCTGTCTGGACTGCAGCAGCGCCATCATGGCTCACTGCCACCTCCACCCCCGGGCTCAAGCAATCCTCCTAGGTCAGCCTTGGGAGCAGCTGGGACTACCTGTGGGGCGGCTAATCTTTGTGGTTTTTGTTTTGTTTTTCCGTTATGGGACCGGGTTTCGGGCCAGGCTCAGTGACTCACGCCTGCAATCCCAGCACCCCGGGAGGCCGAGGCCGGCGGATTACCTGAGGGAGGAGCTCCAGACCACCCCGACCAACATGGAGAAACCCTGTCTCTACCAAAAAAAATAAAAACTAAACAACTAATGGGGTATGGTGGCACATGCCTGCAATCCCAGCCACTCAGGAGGCACCATTTATTAATCTTTTTGACATCAGATGCTCAGTGGCTCACACCTGTAATCCCAGCACTTTGGGAGGCCAAGGCAGGTGAATCGCTTGAGCCGAGGAGTTCAAGACCAGCCTGGCCAACGAGGTGAAACCACGTCTCTGTTGAAAATACAAAAATTAGCCGGGCATGGTGGCACACACCTGTAATCCCAGCTACTCAGGAGGCTGAGACAGGAGAATCGCTTGAACCCAGGAGGTGGAGGTTGCAGTGAGCCGAGATCACAGCATTCCACTCCAGCCTGGACAACAGAGTGAGACTCTGTCTCAAAATTAAAAAAAAAAAAAAAAAATTAACCAGCCATGGTACCACACACCTGTAGTCCCAGCTACTCTGGGGCTGGTGGGGGAGGACTATTTGAGCCCAGGAGGTCGAGGCTTTAGTGAGTTTGATCATGCCACTACACTCTAGCCTGGGCGGCAGAGTGAGTTCGTGTCTCAAAACAAAACAAAAATAGTTTCCAGCCAGGCGCGGTGGTTCACGCCTGAAATCTCAACACTTTGGGAGTCCAAGGTGGCGCATCATCTGAGGTCAGGAGTTCCAGACCAGCCTGGCCAACGTGGTGAAACCCCATCTCTACTAAAAATACAAAAATTAGCTGGGCATGGTGGCTCATGCCTGTAATCCCAGCTACTCAGGAGGCTGAGACAGGAGAACCGCTTGAACCCAGGAGGCGGAGGTTGCAGTGAGCCAAGATCGCACCATTGCATTGCAGCCTGGGGCAACACAGTGAGACTCTGTCTCAAAAAAGAAAAAAAAAAAGCTAGGCGTGAGAAGTGCCTTGATTTTGTATTTTCAATCTGCCAATACTTGCACAGGCTCTGGCTGCAAAACTTTTGCCGGTCAAACATTCGCATTTGAGAAACCACGTCCCTGCTGAGAGATAGATCTAGACACAGCCTTAACTACATCATCAGTAGACACATGACTGGTTTTCTTTGTTTGTTTGTTTGTTTGTTTGTTTTGAGACGGAGTCTCGCTCTGTCGCCCAGGCTGGAGTGCAGTGGCGTGATCTCAGCTCACTGCAACCTCCACCTCCTGGATTCACGCCATTCTCCTGCCTCAGCCTCCCGAGTAGCTGGGACTACAGGCGCCCGCCACCACGGCCGGCTAATTTTTTGTATTTTTTAGCAGAGACGGAGTTTCACCGTATTAGCCAGGATGGTCTGGATCTCCTGACCTCGTGATCCGCCTGCCTCGGCCTCCCAGAGTGCTGGGATTACAGGCGTGAGCCACCGCGCCCAGCGACATATGACTGTTTTTAACCAGAGGGAGGAAAATGGCTTTCAGATGGTTGTGTAGCTGGTTTTAACAGCCTTCAGCAGCGACACTGGCAGCCTCCGACCTCTCAGACCGAGTAAGCCAAGCGAAGCCTGTAGGCGCACGCTTGCAGCTCAGCGCCCGCGGGGACTCCGGAAGCCTCTCCCAAGTGGCGCGGTCCGCAAGGGGCGGCTACAGCTTGGGCGCAGGCGCCGCTGGCTCACCGGTTCTCTTGGGCTCCCCTGGGACGCCGTAGGATCGCAGGCGCGCAGCCCTCCCGGCCGCTCTGGCCGCCCTGCTCCTCCTTTGAAGAAAGATAGGGCCGCTGGCAGGGGCCCTCCGCAGCCACCGGGGATGGGGCTGAGGCCAGTTTTTGTTTTTAGTGCAGCCGCCGCCAGGCCGACCGCCGGGCTTGGCTGCAGCCACGGCGACACTGGCCCGAGTTCTGCGAGGCTGGGGGTGCTGGCGGGCTTGGAGGTTGCCTGGCAGCTGCTGCCTGCAAAAAGAAAAACAAACAAAAAAGCAGCTGCAGCTTGGGCGCCCAGGGCTAGCGGGGCATGGCCTGGGCAGTCTTGGGATTGCGAGCGCGCGCGGCCTGAGAGTCCGTACCCTTCGCCGTGCCTCCTGCCCTCCTCCTCTGCCGGACCTCAGAACTGCTGGCCAGGCCGTCCGAGGGAGTCCGGACCCCACTCCGCAGCCTACAGAGATGGGGTTGAGCGGCAGGTTCTCAGTTCTCGCCCCTCTGCAGCCGCCGCCGGGCAGACCGCCTGGCTTGGCCGCAGCCACGGTGACATTTGGCCCTGGTTCTGCGATGCTGGGAGCGCGAGCGAGCTTGGGAGTTGCCAGGCAGCTACTGCTTGCAGGCGGAGGGCGGCTACAGCTTGGGTGTCCAGGCAGTGGAACATGGCCTGGGCGGCCTCTGGATCGCGAGTACACCGAGCCTGAGAGCCCGCCAGGCCCTGCCCCCGCCTCTGCCAGAGCTCAGGACCGCTGGCCAGGGGCCCTCCGCAGCCACCGGGGATGGGATTAAGTGGCAGGTTCTCGCCCCTGTGTAGCCGCCATCGGGCAGACCATCTGGCTTGGCTCTAGCCACCGGGACATCTGTCCCCGGTTCTGAGATGTTACGAGTGCAGGCGGGCTTAGAGGTTCCCCAGAGGCTGCTGCCTGCACACAGAGGGTGGCTGCAGCTTGGGTGCCCAGGCGGGCTGGAGGGGCCTGGCCCGGGAGGCCTGCGGATCGCCAGGGCGCCCAGGCTGAGAAGCCCCAAGCCGCGCATCCCGCCCGGCTCTTCCACCACAGGGAGACAGGAGCTGCTGGCATGGGGACTCCGCAGTCACCTGTGATGGCTTTGAGCGGCAGGTTCTCAGTTCTCACTCCTGTGCAGCCGCCGGGACATCTGACCCCGGTTCTGCGACGCTGGCAGCGCGACCGGGCTCGGGAGTTGACAGGCGGCTGCTACCTGCACACACAGGGCAGAGGGCAGCTGCACCTTGGCCTGGGCAGCCTCCGAAATGCGTGCGCGCCAGGCCTGAGGGCCCCCCTGGTGGTGCCACCCGCCCCGCTCCTCCTCTGCAGGAGCCTGGAGCAGCTGGAATGGCCACTCTGCAGGGTTATGGTTAAGTATTCTTATCCCATGCATGCACACAAAAAAGGTAACTATTATGCGAGGTAATTAATATGTTAATTGACTTCATTTTGGTAATCATTTCAAAATGCGCATGTAGATAGAAACATCACATTGTAAACTTTGAATATGTACAATATTTATTTCTCAAATATACCTCAGTAAAGCTGAAAAAAAATGAACAGGATTGAAAGGATAAGCACACAGTTCTATAATAGTAGTTGGACACTTCAATACCTCATTTTAATTAATGGATAGAAAAACCAGACAGAAGCTTCATGAGAAATAGAAGACTTGAACAACAGTATAAGCCATTTAGAGCTAATACACATATACAGAACAGTCCACCCCAAAACAGCAGAATATACATTCCTTTTAAGTGGATATGGAACTTTCTCTAGGATAGGTCATATCTTCGTCCACAAAAATATGTCCTAATCATTTACAAAAGTTTTAAATCATACAAAATATAATTTACAACCACAATGGAGGAAACATAAATAAAAAATGAAACCTGAAAAATTCACAAATATGTAGAAATTAAACACTACACTCTTAAACTACCAGTGAAAGAATAAATCATAAGTGAAATTATAAAGTATCTTAAGACAAATAAAAACAAAACATACCAAAACTTAGTGACTGCAGTGAAAGTAGAGTTTGAAGGAAAATGTATGGACATAAACAACTACATTTAAAAAAAGCTCAAATCAGTAACCTCACTCTACACCTAAAAGGCAGTATAAAAACCAGAGAAAACTAAATCTGAAGCTAGCAGAAGTAAAGAAATAATAAAGATTAGAGCATAAATCAATAAAATAGAAGGTTGGAAAGCAGTAGAAGAAATAAACGTAGCTAAAAGTTGGTTCTTTGAAAAGAGTAATCTCACCTCAGTAGCCTAAGATTCTTCTTTAGGAACGTAGAGAAAGAACAACAACTTAAATCTAAGGAACTAAAGAAAGGAGCTAATAACAATTAGGGCAGAAATAAGTGAAATTCAAAACCAAAGAGAGAAAAAGGGAAAGAGAAGAGAGACTACAGATTACTAACAGCAGGACTGAAAGACAAGCTATCAATACACACTATACCATAAATAAGTAAAGCTAAAAATAATTTTATGCACACAAATCTAATAGATGAGATGAAAAAAATAAATTCCTCTAGAGACACAACACATACTACCAAGTCTCACTGAAGAAGAAACAGGTAACAAATAGTCCTGTATTAATTAAGAAATTGCATTTGTAAATAAAACCTACCAAAAAATCTAGTCACATGTTCTTTCACTACTGATTTCTATCAAATATTTGAAGGATAAATAATTTTGACTGTACACAATCTTTTAGAGAAAATAGATGAGATGGGAGCACTCCCAACTCATTTTATAAGGCCAGCATTACAATAACACCAAAACCAAAAAATGATATGGAGAGAAAAGAAGACTATAGACAAATATCAGTCATGGACATATATGAAAAAATATCAACAAAATATTGTGACATCAAATTGAACATCTCCCCATGTAGGATGATTCATTATGTCCAATAAAAACAAGGCTGATTCACTATTAAAATCCAATCCAAGTAATCTGCTATAGAATATTTTTAAAATATTCTTCTCAAGAGATGCAGGAAGAGCATTCGATGAAATCCAACATCTATTTCTGACCAAAACTCATAAAATTAGGAATAAAAGAACTTAGGATATATGTTTATATCTGTATACTATATGGTGATGACTGAATGATTTTTCCTTAAGACTGGGGACAGGTCCTATTCGATATTGTATTAGAAAATTTGCAAAGTGCAATAAGACAGGAATAAGAAATAAATAACATACATATTGCAAAGGAAGAAGTAAAACTGCCTCTATTTGCTGATAAAACTAATCTTTATATACACAGTCTACAGTATTTATGAAAAGCTTCTAAAATAAATACGTGAAATTAAGTGTTTTATTATCAAAGGTCAATATAGAATGTCAATAATTTTCCTATGTGTGAGTAATTAACAGTTGAAAAAATTAAATTACTATTTAAAATAGAAGCAAAAATTAAGTGCTTAGGTATTAATGTAACAATAGAAGTGCAGGATCTGTATGCTGAAAACTACAAAATATAAATGCAATAAATAGAAAATTTAAAAAGAGGGGAATGAAATATTTATGAATTCAGAGTCTCAATATAGTTAAGATGCCAGTCTTTTCCATTTCTGCTTGTAGAGTTCCTTCATTAACAATGAAAATTCCTGTAAGTTTTTTTTTTTTTGTAGATATCACCAAGGAGATTCTAAAATTTACATGGAAAACAAAATAACTAGAATTGTCAAAACACTTCTGAAAAAAAGTTAGAGGACATAAACTACTGATTACAAGGCTTACTATTATGCTACAGTTCTCAAAATATTGTGGTTTTGTTAAAATATTGTTAAAACACTAGATACGTAGACCAATGGAATGAATACAGACCCCAGAAATAGACCCACACAAATATATTCAACTGCATTTTGAAAAAGATGCAGAGGAAAAGGGGAAAGTATAATCTATTCTGTAAATGGGGATGTAATAATGGGATCTCCCCATGTAAAAAAAAAACGAAACTTAATGCGTATTTTACACCTTTTACAAAAGTGGACTGAAATAGACCATATAAAAGTGTAAAGTATACAGCAATAAAATACTATCATAAAACAGGGGAAATTAGGTATGACTTTGGGGTCATTGATGAGTTTTTAGATAAAACACCATACACATGATCCATAAAAGAAAAAATGAAAAAGCAGACTTTGTTATATCTAAAAATGCTCATTCTGTGAAAGAACCATTACAAGAGCAAAAAGCTAAAACAATCAGGGAAAAATATTAAGTCACTGTATTAGTCTGTTCTGCTGCTGCTATAAAGAACTGCTTGAGGCTGGGTAATTTACCAGGAAAGAGGTTTAATTGACTCACAGTTCCATGAGGCTGGCAAAGCCTCAGGAAACTTACAATCATGGCAGAAGGCAAACAAACATGTTGTTCTTCACATGGTGGCAGGAGAGAGAAGTGCTTAGCAAAGGAAGAAAAGCCCTATATAAAACCATCAGATTTTATGAGAACTCACTCACTATCTGAGAACAGCAGCATGGGGGTAACCTGCCTCCATGATTCTACTACCTTCTGCCAGGTCCCTCCCACAACACATAGGGATTATGAGAACTACAATTCAAAATGAGATTTGGGTGGGGACACAGTCAGACCATATCAGTCACGTATCTTATACAAGCTTTTATCCAAAATGAATAAAGAACCCTTAAAACTCAACAATACAAAACAAACAATCCAATTTAAAACAAGCAAAAATCTTGAGCACGTACATCTCAAAAGAAGACAGACATATGGCAAATAAGCATATGAAAACATGGTTATTGTTATTAATAAGGGAATGCAAAACATAACTACAATGGGATACTACTACATGCCATTAGAATAGAAATAAAAAATTAAAATATCAAGTGCTCCTGAAGATGTGTAGCAACAAAGATTCTCTTTCATTACTGTTGGGAATGTAAAATGACATGGTCACTTTAGGAGATAATTTGGCAGCTTTTTATAAAGTAAAACATATGTCCAGTGTGAGGTTCAGCCATTCCACTCCTATATATTTATCAATGTGTAATGAAAACAAATTCACATAAAAGCCCGTAGTCTAGGCAAATGTTTTAGCAGCTTTACTTATAATCTCCAAAACCTGGAAACAACCAAGACATCTTTCTTTTTTTTTTTTTCTTTTTTGAGACGGAGTCTCGCACTGTCACCCAGGCTGGAGTGCAATGTCACGATCTTGGCTCACTGCAACCTCCGCCTCCCAGGTTCAAGGAATTCTTCTGCCTCAGCTTCCCAAGTAGCTGGGAATACAGGCACCCACCACCATGCCTGGCTAATTTTTTGTATTTTTAATAGAGACAGGGTTTCACTATGTTGGCCAGGCTGGTCTCGAACTCCTGACCTCATGATCTGCCCGCCTTGGCCTCCCAAAGTGCTGGGATTATAGGCATGAGCCACCACACCCAGCCTAACCAACACATCTTACAACAGGTGAACAGATAGACTATTGCATCAATACCATCAACTGCTATTCAGCAATACAAAGGAACAGACTATTCACTTACACAACAGTACAGATGAACTTACATGTGTTTTGCTGTGTGAAAGAAGTCAGCCCCAAATGTCTACATATTGTATGATTTCATTCGTATAACATTCCGGAGAAGGCAAAATTATAGGTCAAGAAAACAGATCAGAGTTTGCCCACAATTGGGAGAAAGGGAAGGGTTGATCACAAAGGCATCACACACAGAATTTTAGGGTGATGCGGCTGTTCTGTGCAGTGCTGGAGGGTGGACACGTGTCTCTATGGTTTCTCAAACCCTACCAAATGCTACACTACAAAACCTCTTTCTTATTTTTTGCAAAATAAAAATAATAATAAAAAAATCCACCAGGAAGTCAGAGGATTCCAAGAGGAAAAAGAAACTGATCAAAGACACTTTGGAAAATGGTATTTTGATTGGATACTCTAAGGTTAAGACCAAACAAGCTGCATAGAAACACTCCACTTTGGTTGGTAATTTTGTTTATCACAGGGGCAAATGATAATTTTGACACCAGGCTAGAAAAAATAAGTAAGTAAGTTGCAGATAATGTGAGCTAGAGTTTTTACTGTTATGAAATGACTTTTTCTTGTAGTGTTGAGAATGTTTCTTTTTTTTTCCCAATCATGTGTTAATTCTCCCCAGGATTCTCACCAACCTATTCAAGTATATTTTAAAATACTTATGATTTTAAGACAAAAACACATGTGTTTTCAGCCCAGTTGGAGAAGCCTCATTACTATCACATCCTTTGTGTTCTAAATGAAAGTCTGCACGTAAAACAACAAAGGAGCATGGGAAGTGTTGGAAAAATATAATAAGGAAGACAGACTCCCTGGGGAATGACACAGTGGTATGTTCCTTGGGTCTCCTGTTCTTCTCATCTGCCCTGGAGAGAGTGCTGCAGAAGCCTCCAACCAGAAACCACACCCAACAAAACCAAACCTAATAAAACCCCAGCTGTCTCAGCCAAAGAACCTGGAAAATAATGGCCTAGCAAGGAATACCCACCTGAGTGTAGCCAAACATCAATGGAAACCCCCTCTGCGAACACCATAGTTCAGTGAAATCAAGTGTGGAGCTGATGATCCACTTCACTTACACAGAGTGGAAGGAATCAGCAGTGCTCTGATTCCCTTGCCGGATGGTGTCAGTGGGGCCAAGAAGGGAGATAAATCTTCTGTCTCCCACATTGCAAAAGAAGGTGGCATTCTGGTATTTCCATTTTTTTTTTTTTTTTTTTTGAGACGGAGTCTCGCTCTGTCGCCCAGCCTGGAGTGCAGTGGCGCGATCTCAGCTCACTGCAAGTTCCACCTCCCGGGTTCACGCCATTCTCCTGCCTCAGTGTCCCGAGTATCTGGGACCACAGGCGCCCGCCACCACACCCGGCTAATGTTTTTGTATTTTTAGTAGAGACGGGGTTTCACCGTGTTAGCCAGGATGGTCTCGATCTCCTGACCTCGTGATCCACCTGCCTCAGCCTCCCAAAGTGCTGGGATTACAGGCCTGAGCCACTGCGCCCGGCCTACAGTTATCTTAAATATAAATTGTGTACATGTGTCAATTAAAACACAAGGAATATCAACCTGAACACGGAAACACGATACAAAAATACGTACGTTACTTATCTCAATTGATGCAGAAAGAGCATTTGCCAAAATATAGCACAGTTTTATGATAAAAACTTTCAGAAACCTAGAAATACAAGGAAACTTCCTGAACTTTATCAAGAGTATTTATCAAAAACAAACAGCTATGTCATGCTTAATGATGAAAGAATGAATGGTTTTCCCCTCAGGGTGGAAACAAGGCAGAGACACCTGCTCTCAACAATGCTATTTGACAGAGCACCGAAAGTTCTAGTCGGCACAATTGGGCAAGAAACAAGGCATACTGATTGAAAAAAAAGAGAAAGAAGGAAAGTGGCCTCTATTGCAGATTACACGATTGTCTTTGTAAAGTCTCAGAGAAACTAAAAAAAGTCTTGTAGAAATAATATTTAGCAAGTTCACAGGATAAATGATCCATCCTCCAAAATTCATCATATTTCTATGAACTAAAAATGAATGTGTGGAAACTGAATATACCTTTACAATTGCTCTAAAGAAAATACTTAGGCATAAATCTGACAAGACATGCAGAATCAAGATGGCAAAAATTACAAAATGTGCATGAATTGAGAGAAGAACTAAAATTCAAACATACCTTATTAATGGTTTGGAAGACTCACGATAGCAAATATGTCAACTCTCTTCAAATTGATGGGTAGACTTAATGACAGTCATATCAAAACACCAGCTACATATTTTTATGCATATAGATAAACCTATTTTAAGTTTATATGAAAAGGCACATGATACTGGTGGAGAGATGGACACATAGGTCAGCAGAACAGAATGAAGAACTCAGAAATTGACACAAGTAAATATGCCCAACTCATTTCTCATTTTTGACAATGGTACAAAAGTAATTGAAAGAGAAAGAATAGTCTTTTTAACAAATGTTACTGGAGAAAATAAACACAGGCTCAAAATCTCAGTGTAAACCTTGCACTTTATACACTAATTAACTAGAAATGGTTTGCAAACTTAAATATAAAAGGTTGTACTATAAACCTTTTAGGAAAAGAGTTCTAAAGAAGTTATTGGGATCTAGGGCTAGATAAAAGTCCTTTGTTCTTATTTACATGTATCTTTTAATTTTTTTTTATTTTCAGTAAAAGATCAATGTGTACGTGTACTTATTCTAAAAAAGAAAAAATGTTCAATGTGCTCTTCCAGGTTAATAGACAAATCAAATAGACTCACCTTTCTTTATGAACCCATAGTGTATCAGTGATCCAGCCATTATTGTTTTCCTGAGAGGAAAATTCTCTTTATGCTCATCACACTTTTGGAGCATTGAACCAGAGGGCCTAACGTGAGGTGAACACGCTGCCAGTGGAGGTGAGCAGGAAGGAAATTTCCAAACCCAAGAACTGACAGAAACTGCTGGAGAGAGAAAGTTACTTGGGCAAGTCTAGAGACCAATTGCGTTGTGCCCTTCTCTGTAGAATAATAAAAACGGAGTATTCAAGAAAAAAAATAGGACAAGTGATACTAACCAAATGATGTTACAACACACCCATGTCTGTATGTGTATACAGACCTATGCACATATACACACATAGATATGTGTAATATGTGTGTATTTATAACTGAGGTTAAACTGTTAGGCAATAAGAATGCAGTCCTATTTTTCTACCCTCTCTTTTCTAACATCTTTCAAACAGATGATGTTTTGTAAGATTTTCAATTATTTTCAATAATTAAAAAAATTTCAAACAGAACAAATATGCATGCTGAATTATTTCTCAATCCCCTGTTTTACATGTGGCTTTAAGTACGTGACCTGTTATATAGATATTTCAGCATCTTAGATGTTAAAGTAAACACATAGCTGCTCCTCATTTTTGGAAGGGTGTATTTACAATATATGTGTCTGATGCAAGTTGTATATTTAAATTACTTAAAAATACATCTTCTTTGGTAAGAGTTTTTAAAAATAAATTTGTGGCACATTAGAATGTTTTTAAGAAAAATTGCTTTTTAATTTGTATTATCTAAACTTCAGAATTTTACTCTGAAGTATTTCAAAACTTACAAGAATATTCATATTTGATCTATAAAATAAGTAACTTAGATGGAATAATTTGAATTTGGAAATTTCTTTATACCACTAAATTTGAAGTATCAATGCCACATTTATTTTTACAAATTTTCCTTGAAACATTATATTGGCTACTGGAAAGAGCTAATACCCTTTATGAAAATATGATTTTAGTGATGCAACTTATATATGAGGTAGATTAGGAAGCTTTACTTCCTGTGCCCATTAACTAAGAAGATTTTATGAAACAATTTTTAACAGGGGCCACAGTCAGTACCGGGAGTGTGGTCAGGTGGTGAGGCACGCCTCCCTCCTCATTGGGCCCACCAGAAGATTTCAGGGTTCTAGGAGAAACATACCCAGGCATGCAGAGATTGTCACAAGGGAGGAAGGGCCAGGGTGGGGAACCCAGCACAGGGGGCCTGCCCTCACAGGGGAGTCGGACAAGGTTTTCTGAGGAAGCTGTGTCCAAGCCGAGATCCTTCCCGCTCCATGTGCTCCAGCACAAGGCCTGCAGGAGGAGCCCTGTGAGCAAGGCCAACCTAGACCAGCCGGGTGGATTCCCTTGGCATTGAGGGGGAGCATGGCCTGAGGAGCTGAGCGCGGTCTCCGAAGGACGGCATCAGAGGAACTCTCACCGTTTCTATCATGAACACTTACAGTTTGACATCAGCATGGGAGTTGTGATTGGGTGATCTTGGGAAGGGTCTGTCAGCGGGTCGGGGGGTCGCTCTAAGTTGGACGCTGTCTGATAGAGGAGGCTTTTCTATTGTTCGGCATCTCATATCTCAAGGAATCTTATCTAGAAGAGGGCAGAGGGCCGCCAGGAGAAAGCCGCTGCTGGTAATGAGGAAGATGCTGCTCATTTTCACCAAGTGCAGTGCTAGGGATTTTAGCGGGTGGCAAAGTGACCTTGATATCTTTTCTCTGTGCAGGTCTCTGTTAGAGTCACTGTGAGTGTCTCTGTGGGGATCTCTGTGTTGGTTTTGAAGGGTCTCCGTGTGCGTCTCTGTCAGAGGTTTCTGTGGGGGGGTCCCTCTGGGGGGTCTTCATGGGGGGGGGTCTCAGTGTTGGGGTCTCTGGGGGTCACTGTGGGGAATCTCTGAAATCTCAATGAATGTGGGGTCTTTGTGGGAATCTTTGCGTGTTGGGGTCTACCGGGGGTCCCTGTGGGGTTCCTCTGCTGCAGGTCACAGGATCCTGGGTCCCATAGATGTTGGGCCCACACTGGAGCTGCCCAGGTCACCACCCCAGACAGGACTTGGCTCCAACAGTAGCCTGGACACCCAAAGTGACACCAGGGCGTGTTCGAAACAGGTCCCCGGTGTGGGTCCCGCCAGGCCTGGGTACAGACCTGACACCTTGTCCTCAGCCTCTGCAGCCCCTGCAGGTGCAGAGCTCTCCCTGGGCAGAAGGCCCCTGGGCAGAGCCCTCTGAGGAACTGGCTCCTGCCTGCCCTGCCCTTGCTCCTGCCTTCCCTGGGGATGGCCAGGAAGGACCCAGTACCAGGACGAAGGGAGTGCAGGACTGGGCCCTGTGGGGACTGTCCCTGCCAACCATGTGACCAGATTCTCTGAGCCCCAATGTGTCCCTTGCCAGCACCTGGGCCTGGAACCATAGATGTGCTTTGTAACCCAGGCCAGCCCTTGCCTTCTGGGTCCCCCTCCCCTGGCAGTGGCACTGACCACTTTTGCTTGTAATGGTCACCAGACTGCAAGGACCCTGGTTACAGCTGTGGGCAGCTTGTGGATCCTGCACTTGCAAACTTATGCTCGTCTTCCCTGATTCTTCTCCCACCTCTCACCCTGGGCCCCAAGGTCTCCTCCTGTGATTCCTGACCACAGAGTCCTGCCAGAGGGGCAGGCAGCAGCCCTAGGTGCCTCCTGAAACAGACACCCCACACTAGTGGGCTGGGAGACTGCCCTGGAGAGTGAGGCAGGGGACACCAGACATGAACCCAGGGGTGTTATCAAGCCTGAGCCAAGTGCTGGAGGGGCCCAGGTCCATCCCAGATCCGGAACTCAGCAGTCAGGAAAGGGTCTGGGGAGGGTGTCATCTCTTCCCCACCAGGAGATCCCAGAAAGAGCAGTCCCCCCTCTGACCCAGGGCCAGCACAAGACACCCCCTACATTCCCAGGCTACTGTGAGGCAGGGAGGCTGCTGGGATCCATCACTCCTCCAGCCTGAGGGGAGCCTACCACCCCCCAGTCCGTGACGCCCCTGTAGACCCATCCCCTACAGCAGCACAGAAGTCGCCTTAGAACAGGGAATGCAGTGAGCCAGAGCCCGGGTGGGATCTCCGTAAGTTTGCTGTCCTTACATATCCTGAAGGCTCTGGGTCATGATCCAGTTTGGAAACCAGACACAGTGTGGGGACAGGGAGAAAAGGGGGTCCTCCAGGTCCCTGTCAGCTTCCTCTAGGCCCAGCCATTCTGGAAGCCGCACTCAGGAGGAGCTGACACTGAGCCCTTGCCTGCAGCCTAGCATGGAACAGACAGAAGCCACCACCTCTGCAGGGAAAACAGGTATATTGGGAACTTCTCCGTGGAAGTCAGGAACACATGGGGACTGTTGTCACCCACGCAGGACAGGTTTGTTGTGTAGGCGTCCAGTGTTATTTGGATAGAACCCCCTGTCTCCTCCAGGAGAGGTGTGGGAAGCCTGGTCTGGTTCAGGAGGCAAGACACCTCTGTGTAGACCTCAGTTCCTGCAGCTGTGGATGGGGCTGCCCGAGGTGCTTGCCACTCATGGCCTGTGGTGGTGGGGACCAGCTGGGGACACAAGCTCCCTGGGAGGTGGGGGCCCAACTGCTGTCTCTGTCTCTGATGCCCTTGTTTTTGACAGGACATTTGTGGCCCTTGGGGGTGGCTTTGGGGCTGCAGACCAGCCCCATCTCTCTGCTATGTTCCTGGTAGTAGTGACTCCTGTGGCAGCAGGAAGGCACATTCTCCTGGGCGTGGAGGTCGCCTTTGTGGCGACTGACCTCTGAGGGACCACGTCCCTGCTGAATCCCCAGTTTGTCCACCAGGATTTGCCCCATAACTCTGATGATGGTCTGGGCTTCATCAGCCATGCTGTCCATAAACAACCTTGCTGGGCCAGACCCCCAGCTCTGGACAGCATCTGCCCAGGCTTGCCTTTCTGCAGGACGTCTTCCTGCCCTGAGCCCCTCTTCCTGGGATGTAGACCCTGTGGACGGTGACTGATCTTTCTCTGGAAGTTGCTTTCTGGTGGTGCCTGTCCCTTCTCTGGCTGAGGCTGATTGTATTTCCTTTCTTGTTTGTCTCCTATTTCCCTCGTGTGGGCAGGGTGGCTCCTCCCACTGGCTTGGGAGGTCCTGGGTCCTTTGGACCTGTGTCCCTGCTCCCCTGGTCTGGGCCTCCTGTGGGCCTTGCCCTTGTCCAAAGAGCCCAGCATCTTCTGACTCTTCTGTGGGGCCTTCACTTTTGGGCTCCCAGGTTCCTGCTGCCCCAGTCTGTCCCCTCCCTTCCATAGGAGGGCACATGGCCCCTGGGAAGCTGTCGTGTTCCTCCTACTGAGCACACTCTGGGAGGTGGACAGAGGGGCCTAAGTGGGTGGCCTGTATGTGGCTGGGAGCATGTCCACATGGCGGCCTGGAAGGCACAGGCCTGTGGCGCCCTCCTGGAGGAGGATGCTGGAAACACGGCCTGGCAGCTGCTCCTCTGAGTCCACCTGCACTATGAGCGCAATCTCACTGACAACCTGTGCTTTCAGGCACAGCTGCCCTGGATCCTGAGCAACACAGATTGTAGACACTGAGGGGTTACTAGTGGTCCCCAGAGTCCCTGTGCTCCTCAGATCCACCTGAACACTTCCTGATCTTGCCCTCACACTGGCTCCCAAGGTGACTTTCCAATCAGGGGGCTTTTCCTCCTTGGCCTCCAGTGCCTCCAGGGCATCTCTGGCCCTTGCCCACTGGGACCCCATGCTGAGCTCTTGCAGGGCTCTGCTATGACAGGGGTCTCCTGGGGACATGCTCTCAGTCTCAAGCCATGCCTCATTCCCAGCCATTTCTGAACCCACACTCCCCTCGAGTCTGGGTTTCCCGGACCCCAGGACAGTCCCTCTCTGCCAGGTTCTGCCTACAAGGTTGCATATGGGGGACTGAGAAGATGCCCTGCCCTCCTGTCCAGTCAGAGAGGCCTCTGATTGCTCATGGGTGTCAGCTGACTGGGACCCTCTTGGGACCCTCTGGACTTCCTCCTGCTCAGTTGGTGGGGCAGGGACAGGGCCACTCATGGTGGGGGCTGACTTGCTTGTTGTTCTATTGTCTCCTGGACCATTCTGGGGAGGTTTTCCCGACAAAATGGCAACCTTGGCTACAGATTCAGCCAGAGATTCCCAGGAGGCCCAGGGGAGAATGGTGGAGTGTGGGAGGGGTGGAGGCTGAGCCTCCCCTGACTAGACATTTATGGGCTCTAAGGACTGAAGTTCTGGACCCCACCTGTGCCTCACACAGAACTTGAAAAGATGTGCTTCCAGCATCTGCTGGGTGCAGGGATGGAGGAAGGACAGCTCCTGGGAGGTGTTCACGTGGGCTTTCCCACCCCTCCAGGATGTCACCTTTCTCGATTTCCTGTGGGTGTCAGACTTGGGAATGGCATGTTTGGCCATGAATTAGGAGCGATGCACAGACACAGGGATCCAGCCCTCCTTGATCTCCCCCACCTTCCTGTCCAGATGGACCTGTGGCTTGTTTTCCAGATGCTGCTTTTCTGGGTCCCTGGGTGCAGAACTTACTGATTGGTACTTCCAGGGCCTCCTGAAATCACCTTCTGCTTCCTCCTTGTCTTTCTCCAGAACCTTCACTGAAGTCCTTCCTGAGCCTTGATCCTGGTTCTGGCTCTAGTTTGGACCCTAAGCACCCCTTCCCAGAGAACCTTCCAGAGCTCCTGAGCCCTGCTTTCTGCACATCCTTCGTGCCCTTTCCTACAAATTCAGAATCCCGGGAGGGCAAGAGGGCCCCCTGCGTGGCTTCTGCCTGACTCTGGGGCCTCCCTGGGAATTCCCCCTTAGGCTGCAGCAGGTCTCCAGGTGCCTTGAATCTGCTGGGAGGCCACGGGACTGCTCCTGGTGGATGGCACTCCTTCCTTGCCACCGGTGCTCTGGGAGCTCAGGGCTGGTGGCAATCCCGGGAAGGATGGGGGCTGACTTAGGGTTCAGGGAGGCTGGCCTCTCCTGGGGAAGGTGGGAAGTGGGCTGGCTCAGGACAGCCTGAGACTTTTTGAGGAGAGAGGGCAAAACCCTCTTCCACTTTGGTCATTTCTGCAAGGGCCACTCAAGATACTTTTTTCCAGTGGGGATGACAGACTGTGCCCTCTTCTGGGATGTAGGGCAAGATGCTCCACAGACCCTAATCTGGGGTGGAGAAGAGGTTGGGACAGGGGTTGAGATTTGCCCCACTGTGTCTGGATCCCAGCTAGAGGCGGGGGCTGGGACTGGGGCCAGGTTGGAGTGAAAGGTTGGGGCTGGGCCACGTGGTGGGGCTGGGGCCGTGCCTGGGAAAGCTGTGAGGGTGTCTCAACCTCAGTTTCACCTGGAAGGGAAGTGGAGGCTTTATCCGATGGTACAGAGTGCTCATTCTGTGAGGAAATGTTCCTAGAAACCCAGGCCATGGTCACCAGGGACTCGCTATTGAAAGAGGGGAGATCCCAGAAGAGATGGCTGCATTTCTGCTCTAAGTGGTCCCACATGGCCATGGCGTCAGAGACCTGCTGAGGATGGGGCAGCTTCTGTGGTAGGTTTGCCACGTTCCAGAAGGGATTTAGAGTCGTGATGTCCCACTCCTTCCCCAGTGATGTCATCTGCGGGTAGTCTGCCCACCCCCATTCTTTCTCCTGCCACATCTTCATCACTGCTCTCTTGGAGATGAGTCTCCAGCAGCTTCTGCACGTTGGGATGGAAGAATGTGCGGCCACCTGCCTCCATCTGCCTGGGTGTGGGGTCTCCCCAGAAGGAAGCCTCTGGGGGGTGGTTGGGAAGATGCTGTTGCTGGGATTTGCCCTGTGAGCAGGTGGAGAGGCCCCAGGTGGTGGCAGCCTCCCTCCAGCGGGAGAGGTCCCGGATGGGACCGCTGGAGCACCCAAGGCCAGAGATCACCCTGGTTGGAGAAGGTGGCCCCTGGTTGTGTAGAGGGGAGCTCTGGGGGACAGGGCGTATTGTGGAGCCACACTGAAGTCCAGCCAGGCTGTGTTCGGGTGGAGGTGGAGAGGAGGCCACGGGAACATGGGGCTGTGGTGAAGAAGGAAAAGCATATGTGGCCGGACTGCAGGGCATTTTAGGGGAAGCAAGGGCTCTGGAGGCCTGGAGGCACTCAGGGTTGAGCGTGGTCCAAAAGGCTCTGAGAAGGTCATTGTGTCTGGTGACAGGTTGGAGGCCAGAGGAACTGGGGGAGTCCTTGGGGACAAGCTGTCAGGAGATGGATCTTGCATGCATTTCCTATGCGGCTGGTGGGCCTTAGCAGGAGCTGGTTTGTACATATCACCCAGGGCTCTCCACCTAAGGGCAGATGGGAGCCACCCTCCCCAGTGAGCTTTCTCAGGTGGCTGCACAAGGCACAAGCTGCAGCCAGGGGCAGGTGGGGTTGGGAGGTCGGGAGGGCTGGGCACCTGGTGCCCACAGCTCCTCCACCTCCGCCACTGCTGGCTTCACAGAGCTCTGTCTGTGCCTGCCCAGGGCTTCAGTCCACTCCCGCCTCTTCCCAGGACCTCCCCCTCCCAGGTCAACACTGGACCCTGGGGCTGCCTCAGAGGCCCTGGTAGAAAGGACGACATGGAGAGAAGGGGAATCTCATCTTTCCAGAAGGTTGGTCAGGTCCTGAGTCTCCTCCAGCTCCCTCAGGAGGATTCTGCAAGCTGGAAGTAAGGAGACAGAGTTATGGCGGGGAGGGCGGTGCCAGCGAACCTCATGGGAGGCTGAGTGGTGGATGTCTCTTTAGGGGACACCATGGGGAACTAGACCCTGAAGCCCATGCATCTGTGTCCAAGGCCACATGGCCCCAATGGTGACAGCAAGGTGTGCATTGTGCAGAACTTTGTCATTTGCAAAAAGTGCTTCCATGTACAACCCCTCATGGGTGTCACAACCATCTTGTGGGGAGAGTGGATGGGGTGGTCTCTAAGAAGAGTCAGCCATGGCCGAGGAGAACAGCTGTCCACGTGGACCTGGGGTCTCCCTGACCTCCCCCCATATCCTGGCAGGCCTTGGTCCCTTCCCCACAGCGCCCCCTTATGGGCAATACCGGTTCCCGGGCCCATGGCTTCATTCCCACAGGGAATATGAGGAGGCCCCGGGTTCTGATTTCCCTCCCAGGAGCTTCCCTCTCAGGCCTCTGCAAATGATTCCCTCAGGGACAGACGATGCTCAGTCACCTCTGGGGAGTCTCAGGGATTAGTAGGGCCTCACAATTCAGAGCTGGGATCTTCTTCCTGCTCCTGGGCCTCCCCTATCTCTTCCTTTGATGCCGAGAGGCAAGCAAGGGTGAGGGGCTGGGACCAGTTCTCAGTCTCCTCTTCCCAGACCAGCTGCACACACGCAGTGCTCTTGAAGGACACGGCTTTCTGCCTGTAGCTCAGGGAGCTCTGCGTGCGTTTCTTTTACTCATGTTTACCATTGATGAAATGTTTTCTGTTTTCCTTCTTAGGGAAATGCAAGCAGGGGTTTTCTGTGTGACTCCACCCTGGATATCCCCAGTCCCTGCTCCTCCGCTGAAGGCATACCCAGGCTCAGGCCTACAGGCACCTCTGAGCTGCCAGTAGGATTCTGCTTCAGAGGAGGCCAGACGTGAATCCAGGCTCTAGCGGGAGGCTCTCAGGGGTTCAGCACAGCTCCCAGATCACCCCACACAGAGGAGCCTGGACCCCCAGGCACCTGCCTTGGAAAGGGGCTGATGAGCCAGAGCTGGGGCCTGTCCTCCCACAGAGACCTCACCCCTCTCCTGATCTGGTCCTCGCCACTGAGTCCAGTGTTGGGTTTTGCCCTGATGCCTCCCGCGCATGTCACAGATAGTCTGGGAGCTGAGGATGGAATCCTCTGCCCACTCCCACCCCTGCCTGCTCTGCCCTTCCCTAGAGGGATGATGAGATTTCCCATCGCAGGAGAGTCTCTCATTACTTAGGAAAAGTGGAAATGAGGGGAGGAAAAGAAGAGAGAATCTTTCTCTGTGGGGCTGGGCTGAGGGCTCCTTACCTTCCTGCTGCTCCTCTTCCTCCCATGCGGGGGTGAGGGTGGGACACTGGGGAGGTAGGGGGCTAATAGGAAGAGGAAGCCCAGGCTCCACACTGAGGTGAGGATGAAATCCACAATCCAGGGAGTGGAGCTGGGGCCCAGCCACGTGGCACTAGGGCTCTTCAGAGGAAAGAGCATTTTTTCCATCTGAAGTGCAATGTTGCCCTCAAGCAACTGAGCCCTGGGCATCGCTTTTGGGACTAGGGACTGGAGCCCAGGCCTGCATCACAGAGCTGGGGCCTCCTCCTCACCAAGGGCTCCTGGGGGCAGGGGAGGGGCAGTGGGAGGAGGAGGCTGAAGCGCAGCCCCTCCTTCAGGTCCCAGTTCCAGTCCCTCCACCCTCCTGGGTCCCCCAGATCTTTCCTTCCCACTCCAGTTGCTCACCCTGTCAGAGACAGCCCTGGGTCCATTTTCTATTCTGTTCCCTGGAACACAGATGTTACCTGGTTTTGTGGAGATCTCTGTGCCAGTCCCTCAATCTCCTGCATCTTTAAATCTAGACTTCTCCCTGGAGTTTCTGTTATTTCTCCAGTTTCTTGCTCTTAGGAACTCATTTGTTTGCAGTTCTAACTTTCCCCCTTAATATGTTCTTGCCCTGCATCAACTCAGACATAGAATTTACATTTTTTGTACTTATTGATCGTTGTGAATTTTGATTACAATTTTCATAGTTTTTTAAAAGTTTAATATTTATTTTTGTGGGCACACAGTAGGTGTATATGTTAATGGGGCACATGAGATACTTTCATACAGGCATGCAGTGTGTAATAATCACAGCATGGTAAATGGGGTGTCCATCACCTCAAGCCTTTTTCCTTTGTGTTACAAACCATCCAATTATACTCCTTATTTTTTAAATGAACAATTAAATTATTATTGACTATAGGCATTCTATTGCTGTCAAATACTACAAATACCCAGTTTTATTCATTCTTTCTAATTACCTTCTTTATCCATTAACCATCCCCGTCTCTCTCCCCCTGTGCCTTCCCAGCCTCTAGTAACCATCCTTCTACTCTGTATCTCCATGAGTTTGACTGTTTAATTTTTAGCTCTCACAAGAGAGAACATGTGATGTTTGTTAGTCTTTCTTTGCCTGATTTCACTTAATGACCTCCAGTTCTATCCATGCTATTGCAAATGATAGGCTCTCATTGTTTTTTTATGGCTGAAGAGCACTCCACTGCTTATATGTACCACCTTTTCTTTATCCTTTCATCTGTTGATGGACACTCACTAGGTTGATTCCTAATCTTGGCTATTGTGAACAGTGCTAGAAGGAACATGGGAGTGCAAGTATCCCTTCAATATACTGATTTCCTTTCTTCTGGGTGTGTACCCAGCAGTGGGATTGCTGGATCATGAGGTAGCTCTAGTTTTAGTTTTTGAGGAACCTCCTAACTGTTCTCCATAGAAGTTGTACTGACTCACATTTCCACCAACAGTGTATGAGGGTTCCCTTCACATCCTCGCCAGCATTTGCCATTGTCTGTCTTTTGGATGAAAGCCATTTTAACTGGGGCGAGATGAGATCTCCTTGTAGTTTTGATTACCTTTCTCTGATATCATTGATGTTGAGCACCTTTTCATATACCTGTTTGCCATTCATATGTCTTCTTTTGAGAAATGTCTGTTCACATCTTTTGTGTATTTTTTATTATTTTATTTTAACTTCCGGGGTACATGTGCAGGATGTGCAGGTTTGTTACATAGGTAAATGTGTGCCATGGTGGTTTGCTGTACCTATCAACCCATCACATAGGTATTAAGCCCCGTATGCATTAGTTATTTTTCCTGATGCTCTCTCCTGCTTCTGACAGGCCCCACAGTGTGTTGTTCCCCTACCTGTGTGCATGTGTTCCCTTTGGTCAGCTCCCACTTATAAGTGAGAACGTGTGGTGTTTGGTTTTCTGTTCCTGTGTTAGTTTGCTGAGGATAATGGCTTCCAGCTTCATTCATGTCCCTGCAAAGGACATAATCTCATTCTTTTTTATGGCTGCATAATATTCCATGTTGTCTATGCACCACATTTTCTTTATCCAGTCTATCACCGATGGGCATTTGGGTTGATTCCATGTCTTTGCTTCTGTGAATAGTGCTGCAATGAATATATAAGTGCATTCATCTTTATAACAGAATAATTTATATTCTTTGGGTACATACCCAGTAATGGGATTGCTGGGTCAAATAGTATTTCCCATTCTAAATCTTTGAGGAATCGCCACAATGTCTGCCACAATGGTTGAACTAATTTACATTCCTGCCAACAGTGTAAAATTGTTTCTATTTCTCCCCAACCTCACCAGCATCAGTTGTTTCTTGACTTTTTAATAATTGCCATTTTGACTGGCATGTGATGGTATCTCATTGTGGTTTTGATTTCCATTTGTCTAACAATCAGTGATGTTGAGCTTTTTTCCTTATGTTTGTTGGCTGCATCTATGTCTTCTTTTGAGAAGTGTTTGTTCATGTCCTTTGCCCACTTTTTAATGGGGTCTTTTGTTTTCTTCTTGTAAATTTCCTTAAATTCCCTGTAGATTCTGGATATTGGACCTTTGTCAGATGGATACATTGCAAAAATTTTCTCCCATTCTGTAGGTTGTCTGTTCACTCTGATGATAGTTTCTTTGCTGCGTGAAACTCTTTAGTTTAATTAGTTCCCATTTGTCAATTTTTGCTTTTATTACAATTGCTTTTGGCGATTTCAACATAAAATATATGCCCATGACTATGACCTGAATGGTATTGCCTACATTTTTTTCTAGGGTTTTTATAGTTTTGGCTTTTACATTTAAGACTTTACTTTATCTTGAGTTAGTTTTTGTATAGGGTGTAAGGAAAAGATCCAGTTTCAGTTTTCTGTGTATAGCTAGCCAGTTTTCACACCATTTATTAAATAGGAAATCCTTTCCCCATTGCTTGTTTTTGTCAGGTTTGTTGTCTTGCCTAGAGGTTACACACTGAATTACCATTTGGAGATCATCCATTCCCACCTGGTGTGGATCAAAGATAACAGGGGCCAACAGGAGAAAGTTTGAGCCTTGCCAGGTCAACACTGGTGCTGAACAAAGTGACTTGCGTCTGTTTTGCTACATGTATTTTGCTTTGGCTGGGATGGAAAATATTAATTTGATTCCCCATGCAGCCTGTTGAGCAGCATCTTGCAAAATTGGGAAGCTTATGCCTATGGTTCCATCAAACAGAAAAGCATAATTTTATTTTGTAATGGAACTTGGCTCCCATAGCTATGTTACACTGAGCAAGGTCATCAAAGCTGCTCTGTTCTTCTGAAAGCTGCAGAGAAAGGGAACCCAGAAACCTGGTATGCTGGCGAAAAAAGGGTAAGAAATTCTTACCAACCAAGTTTCTCATATTTCTCTCTCTCTCCCTGTCTCTCTCCCTCCCTCTCCCTCTGTGTGTTTGTGTGTGTGCGTGTGAATGCAAATGGTAAATATCACTGTTTGTCTTCTCTCCTCTGTTTTCTCTTTTCTACAAATAGAAAAAAGGATTTGTGAGACTAGTCTTAGGCTGTAGCAAATCTGGAGCACTTTGTGCTAAGAATTTATCTTTCTGCTTTGTTCTTTAATGGAGAGAGAGGTATCACAGGAGAGAAGGTGGGCTTAGGACCCCTATAAGCCTGCCTTTCAAGCCAGCCTGGCAGCTGGTCATTTACAAACTTTGCTGGGGGTCCCCAAGACCAGTGCCATATAAAGTTTCCATCTTTTCGTTTTATGCCCTTGAGAGCTTAACCTTGTGACCATGTGGGGATACTTTCTCTTGGTGTCTGCCATTCAGCGGACAGGAATTTGGGGATTCATGTCATAGCACTAAAAATTATCTTGAGCAGGTAGAAGCTTTTGCAAGGTCAAAATTGGCACCTCTAGGCTCCTTCTGGGAAGAGCAACAGAACCTGCTGAATGATGTAGCTCAATAACCAAGGCTTTTGTCTTTTGACAGTGGCTGCCCCAGGTTCAATTCTTGGCTTTGGGAATGATTCCCTTCTTGTTTGTTATTTGTGTAACTGCCATTTTTTGAGGGATTCCCCCCTTTCTATGGATAATTTCTGATTTCCTGTCTTGAATTTTCCTTTCTGTGAACTACCCTGGGGAAATTCTAACTCTTGTTTAAAAAAAACTACTTACCATCTCTTTGAAACACATCATGAGTTCATGGTTAAGTTATAACCTTAGTTAAAACTTATTAATTTCATGTGAGAGGTTACCTGGTATAGAATTCAAAAGCCAGAAATGTGGGGTGTCCTCACTAGAGCCTGGTAATAAGGGATTTTGAAAGTTTTTTTTTTTTTTTAAACAGCAGAGCTCTATGGTTAAAAGTGGCTTAATTAAAAATAGACATCCAGGGTTGGGTGGGGTAACCCTAGATATCTATTTTCATGCCTGTAATCCCAGTACTTCAGAAGGCCAAAGCAGGAGGATTGCTTCAGCAGGAGTTTGAGACAAGCCTGGAAAACATAGACCACATCTTAAAATTAAATAAATAAATAAATAAAAGTACCCAAACTATATCTATTTAAAAGGCCTTTATCTTTTCCTCTTCTAGATTCATGTCTTTCTGGAATAAGTTCTTTTCTTCTGAATTGATTTTCTCCATTTTTTCTTCTTGCCATGCTTAAAGCACACCTGAGAGAACCTAGATAAATTCTAACAGCCTGGGACTCATAGGGAAAAACAGAGGAGGCATCACAGACCCCATTCTGGGAAAAACCTCCATTTTCCTCATGAAACCCCAGGAGCTGAAAGTTGATAGATCTCCCTCAAAATCTAAGTCTCGGTTCAATTTTCAATTTTACATTATGTTACCTGACTTTTTTTGTTTTTTTTTTTTACTTTTGGGTATATCAGAAATTGCTTCACATTATGGGAGAGCTTTTAGCCATGGTTTATAATAACCAGATAGGAAATACACTATAAGGGACTGCTAATGGCAATTAGGAGGAATACTTGGCTCCTTGCATGCTTGGATCAGAGAAGCACACTCTTGACCACCTAGAAGGTATGAAAACATCCCTATCCCCCACTGAGAGATGAGAATCCCATGGGGGATGGGCTGATTACAAAATGGGCTGATTGGCTTTGGATTGTCTTGCAATAAAATGCAGGGTAGAAGCACTGCACTAGCTTCTTCTGTAGTATTTCCCTCTTTTTGGGGGGAATCCAGGATCCCATATAAAATGGCACCCTTAATTTGGGGGATCTGTTTTTGCCTTCCAGCTGTGCCTGCTTATTAGGCCCTAGAAATTGCAAGCTTTCCCAGCCCTATTTTTCAAAGGGCTCCAGCCTGAATCTAGTAATCCCACTAGGAAACTTAAGAACTGGCAAATGAAAAATCTTACAACTACTGGATCTTCTGTCTGTCTATGTATTTATATATGTTTTGTGTGTGATGTTTACATAAAAGCTCTAATTAATTGGTTTAAAGAAAAGTAGGCACTTAAGTCAAATATTTTGTCAGTAAAATTAAAACTAATGCCCTTTAGTTCACCTAACTTTAGTAATCTTTTGGTAATAAAGACAGATTAAAAATTATTGATAAAATAGGCTGGGCACAGTGGCTCACACCTGTAATCCCAGCACTTTGGGAGGCTGAGCTGGGCAGATCATGAGGTCAGGAGATCAAGGCCATCCTGGCTAACACGGTGAAACCCCATATCTACTAAAAATACAAAAAAATTAGCCAGGCGTGGTGGTGAGCACCTGCATTCCCAGCTACTCGGGAGGCTGAGGCAGGAGAATGACGTGAACCCTGGAGGCGGAGCTTGCAGTGAGCTGAGACTGCGCCACTGCACTTCAGCCCGGGTGACAGAGTGAGATTTTGTCTAAAAAAAAAAATTGGTAAAATAAAATGTCTTCAAAATTTAGACATTTGGTCTAAATTGGGTCTGATGTTAGGTTTGCTAAATGCTTTAAGATCATAAACTGCTTCTTTAACTTTTAAAAATTGTTCAATTTACCTAGCTTGGAGTCATTACTTTCTAGATAAGGCCCGGTGACATGTGAAATTAGCCCCCTAGCTGCTCAAAGAAGGTTAAAAAGAAAAGAGATTTTGTATAAGAAAGGATCTTGTATGGTAAATTTTTGTCCTAAAGTGAAATGACTGGTTGTTGAAATGACCGTTGTCCAAGCATGTAATAGATGGTCTAAGCCATGAAAGGATTCATGAAAGGGAATTTATGCAAGAAACGTTGTACAATTTAAAGGTTATTAGGCTGCCTAAATGCTTCACAAACGCCACTGTGACTCTTAACTATACACTTACCTGCGTTACTGCTAGGTAAGTGCTGGGCATATGTGGAGATAGCCACATTCCATAGCTATGCTGGAAAAAGTCAGACTTGATCTGCACTTCTGTCCTTTGTCTGTCCTAAGCTCCACACTTGGTACATAATTAAAATGTCCTACTAACCAGGTTTTTCACCAAAAATAGAAGTTGCACAGAGTTAACAGTGTAACATGTATTGAGGCTACTGAAGAAACATTTCCACATTCAAGGCATGTAAGAAAAGTAGAATGTACTTTTGGTAAAAGATTATAAGAAGACCTGGGAATATGGATTTCTTTCCCAAGTTTAGAGGGTTATTGTTTTAAGTGAGACAGGAAAAGTCTAAAGGTTTTTTTTTTGTTTGTTTGCTTTTGTTTTTTGAGATGGAGTCTCGCTCTGTCGCCCAGGCTGGAGTGCAGTGGCGCAATCTCGGCTCACTGCAAGCTCCGCCTCCCAGGTTCACGCCATTCTCCTGCCTCAGCCTCCCAAGTAGCTGGGACTACAGGCGCCCGCCACTACGCCTGGCTAATTTTTTGTATTTTTAGTAGAGACGGGGTTTCACCATTTTAGCCGGGATGGTCTCGATCTCCTGACCTCGTGATCCGCCCGCCTCGGCCTCCCAAAGTGCTGGGATTACAGGCGTGAGCCACCGCGCCCGGCCTAAAGGTTTAAGCAAGTTGTGAAAAGTTTATAAAAAATTAATTGTAAAAGAGATTCTGTGTGTAAACATATTGGCTAAAGTTAAAGGGGTATTAGTCAATGTTTCCATAAGTTGAACATTGGAATAAAAGCATAACAGAGTTTTCTTAAAACATGGTTCTGCTCTGTAACAACAACAACTAAATTGTAAAGGGTTATAAAAGGTTTATAAGAACATTAACTTATGGTCAAACTAATTAAAACTGGATAGATTTATAAAATTTTAATAAAAACTAGCTTTAGCATTAAAGGTGCAATAATGCAAACATGAAATTTGGTTTTCTCTTTTGAAAAAGATTCTTGTGTAATATTGAGAAGCAATGAAAAAATTTTGTTTGCCTTTTAAGGGAGGGGAGAGAGAAGTGACCAATTCAGGGGACGGCTTCACTGGGTCTTGTAGTTTGAGAAGCTGAGTCTCTTTTCTATCAAACTAAAGGTTTTTTCCTTTTTAAAACTTTGTGAGTTATCATTTTGGCTAAATAACTGACTTATGGTGACCTGGCATTCTATTTTGTGACATCCAGTGTTTTAAACCATATTTGACAAACCTGACAAGATCAAATTAGAAGTTAAACAAAAATAGGTCCCCTACAGTCCAAAAAGATATAATCTGCTTATTTAATGTATTAAAATCATGCAGAAAACATGGCCAAATATAAAATGATGTTTAACTTTCTTTGGGTTATATTCATATAAATACGTTATTAGCATGTGTTTCAAAACTGTATAAGATTCTTATAAGTTTGATATGCCTTAGCATATGTTATCAGTAATAATTATAATTGATACATTAAATTATTGTGTGCCACAGAGGTTAAAAATTTTCTTGTTTTATAATCAGCTATGAAACTTGGATGGGTGCTCTTGAATGCAAGTTTCTGATAGCTTTGGAGATTGCAACATTAGAATAAAGGAAAAAACGTTCAGGACTCTCATGGAGAGCTGACTTGTTCAGGAACATTAAGCAGAACAAGAGTTTACTGAATGGAATGAACTAATAGAAAACTGAACTAATCTTTTCCTTTTTTTTTTTTGCTTAAAATGTGGCTGTTCCTTTTCATTTTTCAGAGAGCCAAGAAAACTTTTCTTTTGATTACAGCTTTTAACAACTGAGAAAAATATACTCCTGTGAACAAAATTTGGAGCATGTTTGTTTCTCTCTACCTGATTTCTCAAGAATCTGGAAGCTATTTGCAAGTATTCTTAATTTATGGCAACATAATTATTTGCATAAGTGCAATAAGAATGTTTTCTTTTGCAACAGGACACAATTGGAGAAACTGTTTATTTTACTAAGGTTTTGACTGGGATGGCATGCTTTTGTTTAAGGAATCAAACTTGATTTACAAAGCCAATAAAAACCCCTAGGGTAAACTGGCCTCATACCTTGTCTACGCAGTCCCTGTACAGGGTTCCTAACGTATGGTAAGTAAAGAATGTCACTTTCCAAAAGGCCCCGGAATCTTAAGTTATCTTGGGATCTCAAGAAGAGGGGAATGTACCCAACTCATAGGCATTTGAGGGTACAAACCCATGGCTGGGATGGGCTTTAAAAAAAGTCTATCTAAGACTCTTTATGCAGAGTTCCATCAAAGCCAACTTAAAAGGCCCATGTGAAAAATAATTATTCTTGCTGTGCTCTTTGCAAATAATCATGCCAAGTATAATAAAATTAAAGTTTATTTCACAAACAAAATCGGTCCTATCAGGATTTGTTTTTAATAAAAATAAGAACTGAAGAGAGAAAAAATTGTTTCAAAAACTACAGTACACCTGTTGTTAGTTGTTTTTGAGGATTTTTTTTTCTGCCATTTAGACTGAATCCTAAATTTTGGGAGGCTACAAGTGCTCAAACTAATGCTTTTAAGTCTTTACTTTTAAAACTGGGAATGGCACTCCTTGTTCCGGAACTCATTACTTACCTTATTGTACACTGTTTGTGTAAATGTCGTACTAAAACTGTAGATGAGAATACGAATGCCTTTGTCATGAAAGCCTTGGAAGCTCAGCCTGGCCTGCGTGAGTACACTCAAACAGCTCAGACAGCTGCAAAGCAGTTCCACTCCTCTCACCTTGGGGTCAACACCTACCCCACTATGCCCCCTGTCTGCAGGAAGAATCCAGAGTGATCGACGGCCTTTTCCCATCTTCATAGCCCACACCTTAAGAATAAGGTGCTATGAAACCCTAAGGGAGGGATTGAAACAGCCTTTGCAAAAATTATAACTGAGAAAATAATGACAGTGAAAGAGATCAGACCTAACCGACTCCATCTTGCTTCTAACCTTTAAGCTGTCCTTGTTCATTCCTGGGCATAGGCCGAACTAACCTCGGGAAGGAATTTGCAGACCCTGCACTCCATGGATCAGCTGACACCGCCTAGACTGGTAATCTGGCTCAATCAGTTCTGAGATCCTACCCAGGAACAGAAGATAGCAAGGAAACCTCACTTCGACCCCCTATGATTCCATCTCCAACTTGATCAATCAGCACTCCCCACTTCTCTAGCCCCTACCCGTCAAATTGTCTCTAAAAACTTAAGCTGAGCACGGTGGCTTACGCCTGTAATTCCAGCACTTTGGGAGGCCGAGGCGGGCGGATCACGAGGTGAGGATTTGGAGAGCAGCCTGGCCAACATAATGAAACACCGTCTCTACTAAAAATACAAAAAAACAGCTAAGCGTGGTGGCGGGCACCTGTAATCCCAGCTACTTGGAAGGCTGAGGCAGGAGAATCGCTTGAACCCTGGAGGCAGAAGTTGCAGTGAGCTGAGATCACACCATTGCACTCCAGCCCAGGCAATAGTGCGAGGCTCCATCTTAAAACAAAACAAAACAAATGCTCAAGAAGTCTGATTTGAATAATAATGAAACTCTGGTCTTCCGCAAAAATAAAGTAAAAATACAGGTAAGTTAATTCTAATAAGGTCTATTGTTACAAAGTCTTTTTGAGTTTCTATACAGCAGAACAATATTACAAGACAGAACCTTCAAAAACCACTTCATTGCAACTCTGAGTCCCTAAGGAAAAGAGAAAAAAATGTGGAAAAATCAAACGCTTTTTTAATGGCACAGAGGTCATTGTTTTCTTCTATAATTGCAACAGCAAAATCTAGATATCTGGGTATATATACATGTATATGTGTTTTTTACATTTTAGATAGCATGCCATTCTCCATTTTATGAAAATTTCATATAGAATACATATATTTGAAATATGAACTGAAAAACATTAAGCATTAATAAAGAAAATAATGAACATCTCCTACTGGAATAACTTACCATTATTGTTTTTATATTTATCAACAGCTCTAGAACTTTAACATGGACATATATAAAAGTGACCACTTCCTTAGAATTCCATTTTGAGTTCTCGTTTTGTTGTGTTTTATTTTGTTTTGTTTTGGTTTTGTTTTGGTTTGTTTTGAGACGGAGTCTCGCTCTGTCGCCCAGGCTGGAGTGCAGTGGCACAATCTCGGCTCACTGCAACCTTCGCCTCCCCAGTTCAAGCGATTCTCTTGCCTCAGCCTCCTGAGTAGCTGGGATTACAGGCGTCTGCCACCGCGCCCGGCTAATGTTTGTATTTTTTTTAGGTTTCACCATGTTGGCCAGGCTGGTGATTTCCCGTTTTGAAAAGTAAAGGTTTCAGCCGAACGGAGACCTACTTTCTGCTGTGTCACATCGCCCTCTGGTGGCTAAATGGCTTTCTTACACAGTAACCCCAAATAATAACTATCATATAAAAGAACTTTTTAAAAAATCGTGATAACATTAAAATGATTAGAAATATATAACTCATAAGCAAAGTCACAGCACTATGATATTTACATGTTTATCACACGTCAAATACATTTAAATATTTTGTGATGTGTGAATCTTCACATTCCTGAACCACCTATAAAGTTCCATTTCCCAAGGTTAAATTGAGGCAGGATTTTTAAAGACTTTTAACTAGCTAACAGAGAAAAATGTACAATTTCCATTAACCTCCCCAGTGACAAGCTTTCTCAAGACCCAGCGAGGTTGTATGTGTGTTTGTGTTTTGTTTTTGTTTTTGTTTTTGTTTTGAGACGGAGTCTCGCTCTGTCGCCCAGGCTGGAGTGCAGTGGCGCCATCTCGGCTCACTGCAAGCTCTGCCTCCTGGGTTCACGCCATTCTCCTGCCTCAGCCTCTCGAGTAGCTGGGACTACAGGCGCCCGCCACCACACCCGGCTAACTTTTTTGTATTTTTTAGTAGAAACGGGGTTTTACCGTGTTAGCCAGGATGGTCTCGATCTCCTGACCTCCTGATCCACCCGCCTCGGCCTCCCAAAGTGCTGGGATTACAGGCATCAGCCACCACGCCCGGCCGTGTGTTTGTGTTTTAATATGGTTTTTCTGTGTATAAAAGCTATACGTGTTCATCTTAGAAAATTTAGAAATGACAGAATTTGATTTTGCTTATTCTAAATCCCTTGGGATTATTTCCAGTATAGATGGCAGTGAGGAAGGAATAATTTCAGGACACTGGCTTTCTTCTTCCACAAGACCCCAGCTGGGCAAAGGGAACTGGATGGCCTTGGGCCTGTGGCCCCAGTGCACCCTCCTCTGGGGCCTGTACCTGGCTCTGGATAGTAATCCCCACTGCAGAATGGAAGAGGCTGCTCCCACATAAGCCATTGAGTCCAGACTCCAGAAACCTGGGTCCGTGCAGTACTCAAAAAGGAAAGTACCGACCACCCAGACCAGAGCTGGCAAGAAGGCGAAATGGGATTGATTCATTCATTCAACAAATACTCGCTGAGCTCCAGCCGAATGCTAGGCACCATGTTCAGGATAGAGATGATTGATGTAATCCCTGGCCTTGGCAGTTTGGGGTAAAGAGCTATCATCACTGCTGACTTCATAACAATCACATGCCTTCAGAGATAAAGTGAACACTCACTTCTAACAAAGCAAAAATAAGAAGAAAAAGAAATGCACACTCCCGATTTCTTTGTCCAAAGTGGTATGACTGGGTGATTTGTGACCTTCCCATTTGCATGCCCGATTGCCAAAAAGCATGGCAATTACCCCACACACCTTTACTCATCCCAAACTAACTATGCTGAAAACACTGCACAATGGAGATTTCCTTTATGCCTGCTCAGGCCTAACAGTTCCATATTCACTGGCCTGGCTGTCTTCTCCAAGCTGAAAGAGGCAGAGCCATTACCAGTATTTTTCTTGGAAGGGCAGGAAGTAAAAACACATCTGAGTAACACTCAAGAAAATATTGTTTATGTCCAAGATGATGAATTAATCTTTTTTTATTCTCTCTTTCTCTTTTTTTTTTTTTTGAGACAGTCTTTCTCTGGCACCCAGGTTGGAGTGCAGTGGCATGATCACAGCTCACTACATCCTTGACCTCCCAAGTTCAAGCCATCCTCCATCAGTCTCCAGAGTTGCTGGGACTACAGGTGCACCTTGCCTGGATAAATTTTTTATTCTTTGTAGAAATGGGGGCTCACTATATTGCCCAGGCTGCATCTTTATTCTTTCATCCCATCCTCAACTAAAGTCATGTTACTGTAATAGAAGTGAAATACCATAGCCCCGTGTGCCTCAGCAGGCAGGGGCTGTCAGCACTCTTCATATTGCTGAGCATTTCAAAGCTGTGTTGGCAGCTGTTCCACAGTCGACTTCAGGGTCCCTGAGATGATTGGCTCTTGGAGATGATCCAGCAGGGTTCTGGTAGCTGAGCTCATCCACCAAGTCCACACTGGCAGTGAAAATGGCTTCTGGGCTTGGGGCTTTCTGGGCCCAGCCCCAGGGCAGACTGAGTCAACACACGAAGGACAGCCTTCTGCACCCACAGCAGACAGGGGAGGGGCAAAGGGAGACACGCGGTCCCAGTGGGGCAGGGAGGCTAGAACACGGCCACACCCTTTGCGAGCCACAAACATTTTTGCTGAGCACAAAATTCTCTCCAGCTGGGCAGACAGAGGAAAAAAGCAAAATGAATGAGTAGAGCACGTGGCACATCATCAGGGAGTTCCATGGAGGAAAGTGGAGCAGGTGAAGGGCAGGACGAGGGACATGGAGTGCCAGCTAGGGGCTTGAGAAAGTGATGGCAAGAGCTATGTAAGGCTGACATTGGGATATGGTTCTGAAGGGAGTGAGGATGGTGACGTGGCTGTGTGTGGAAAGGGAATGTCAGGCGGGGGTGACAGCAGGGATAAATGCCTGGAGAGCATGGCTGTGTGTGGAAAGGGAATGTCAGGCCGGGGTGACAGCAGGGATAAATGCCTGGAGAGCAGAGTGGCCCGCTATTTCCCAGGAGGAAGGACCTGTGGCTCAAGTGTCAATGAAAGTGAGCGGAGAGGGCTGAAGTCGGGGTAACAGGGCCAGCCTGTGTGCAGCCCCCTGGATGTGGGTGAGGGAGTTGTCTCTGCCGTGTGAGAGGAACAGCCACAGGAGGGCTTTCAGGAGAGCGCATGGTGTGAGGTTTTTCAGACTCACTGTGGCTACTGTGGGAAGAGTGTTTTAGGTGCCTCCCCTTTACCCCACTGGGTGAGCAGGGTTTCTGCCCTAGGCCTAGGGGGATGGCTGCACACACACGCACGACACTTGACAGAGGAGATGAGCACTGGCTTATTAGCCACATAGACAGACTCATACCCCGAGGAGGAGAACCCCAGGCCATGCAGGGGGAATCCGCGGGAATGAACAGCCCTGAGCTCAGGAGAGGGTCTACATGCATTGCAATTAAAAAGGAAATGCAGCCGGGTGTGGTAGCTCATGCCTGTAATCCCAGCACTTTGGGAGGCCGAGGTGGACGGGTCACCTGAGGTCAGGAGTTTGAGACCAGCCTGGCCAACACGGAGAAACCCGGTCTCAACTAAAAACACAAAAAAATTAGCCATGTGTGATGGTGCATGCCTGTTATCCCAGGTATTCGGGAGGCTGAGGCATGAGAATCACTTCAACCTGGGGGGCAGAGATTGCAGTGAGCTGAGATCACACCACTGCACTCCAGCCTGGGTGACAGAGTGAGACTGTGTCTCAAAAAAAAAGAAAATGCATGCCGTCAAGTCCGCTCGTGCCGAGATGAGGTGTCTCCAGTTGTCCAGCATCACATCGCGGTACAGGGTCCTCTGAACAGGGCCCAAGCGCTGCCAATCCTCCTGGCGGACCCCCAGCCACGTCCTTGAATGACACTGATACCTGTAATTGTGCATTTCTCAGCACTTTGGGGGTTCGGAAACAGGGACATGGAAAACACATTTGGGATGTGATTCCTACTATGTTTATTGTTGCAAATCTAAACAAGTTACTGTAAGGTATGCCTATTTTAGTTCTAGTTTTGCCTTACGCTTTTGGGGTAACTCAAGCAGTAAACATATTTTGAACATCGTAACTCATTTGTACATGAGCGTGCATTAGATACATATACTATCATGTACTAAGCTAACACTAGTATTGTTTTAAAAAATTCTTATTTAGGTGAAAATCAGTGTAATTAGAGTTTTCACAATTTCCTTTCCACACTTTAAAAGATCATCTTGGGCATTCCCTGGGCTGTACACACCCTCCTTGAAGATCCTGCTGTGGCTACTGGGGAGTCTGTAAAGTGATCCATGTAAGGCCTGAATGTGCTGTATCAGACTTATGTCAAAGAAGCAATGCTTCAGAAGAGTGGACGGTGGCTGAAGGGGAAGCCAGAACCAGAGACCTGAAAAAGAGATGACCGCCTTCACTAAAGCAACAGCAATGGGGAAAGGAATCGGGGACTAGTCCCATGGCAGAAGCCGCAACGGAATTTGTCATCCATTTCTTGAGTGGCTTCCCTGAATGAGTAGCTGGGTCAATGCTGGTGCCATCTATAGTATTAAGGGAAAGATGGCAAAGTCAGAGTCTATAAATGAGGATTCTACGGCAGTTCTGGACCTTGTGGAACTTTATGTCTAACTGGAAAGATCCAGAAATGGCAGTTTTCACTAATCTGCGAAGTGCAGAGGCAGGGGCAGCACGGGCTCTGAGGACTGAGATGAGGAAGGACAAGTGGAAAGAGAAGAGGATCGGTTTTGTGGATGAGGCCATCAGACTTGACTCATGACAAACCAGGAGGAATGGAGAAGCTGATGGGGCAGGGTTCAAGGTCCATGCAGCCCCAGTGAGAGCATGAGGTGAAGCTGTGTCAGAACAGCAGGATGTGTCCGGGATTTAGTCGCACCTGAGAATAAAGTTACATGGTGAACTTTTCTCATCACTTTCCCCAGTGGACAGTAAACCCCACTGTGGGAAACGGCATTTTCAGCTGTAACTGTGCAGATGCCACACCCCTGGGCAGTCCTCACTCTGCAGGCTCCGATTCTCACAGCGCCCAGTGATGCCAGCAAAACACTTTATCAGGAGTGTCCAATCTTTTGGCTTTCCTGGGCCACACTGGAAGAAGAACTGTCTTGGACTGCACATAAAATACATTAACACTAACAAAAGCTGATGAGCTAAAGAAAAAAAATGACAAAAAATACCTCATAATGTTTTAAGAAAGCTTACAAATGTTTGTTGGGCCTCATTCAAAGCTGTCCTGGGCTGCATGCAGCCCGGGGGCTGTTGGTTGGACATGAAGGGGATTCTTAGAGAGATTTCACTGCACTGAATGCTCACAGTTTATTTACATAACAGTTCAAACTCCAGTTATCACTGTGCCTTCAAAGTGCACACGTCGCTCCTAGCACCTCTGCCCACCAGCCTCTACATGAACACCAGGAGCAAGTGGCGATCAGTGACCAACCACACCACTCCCTTCAGAATCTGCAGGGCCCTTCCCTCCGCATGCACAGCTCGGTTCCTGTACAGACAACACCACGTGTAGTCATCTTGCTTCTTAGATTCCTAGTAATAAAACCACTCGGAATGTTACAAAGATAAAAACTGGAAGAGTGGATTGGCCAACAAAGAGGAAAGTGCAGGAAAGAAAGGAAGAGTGACAGCCTCGGAAGTACCATTCAGACCTCCAGGAAAGGGCACTGTGGTGCTGCCTCTGTGGGTGCTGACATTGCACTGGTCAGGAGGTGCACCAAGCCAGGCTAGGGGCCACCAAGCCTGGCTTTTAATACATTTTTATAAAGAAATAAGCTTGAACTATCAGTGTGTCTAAAGATTTTAAATTACAATATATGAAATAAATATCAGTTTTCCTGAGTTTCGTTTTCATGTGTTCATATGAAGACAATATGCAATGGTAAGAGACATGTTAACGTGTGGATAAAAAAATTCAAAGGTTGCAGAACACTCATGATTTTCTCCACTGATTATTAAGATCACTTTATAGTTTTGGCTTGCATGGTCGTTCTTATAGTCACAGACTACTATGCGAAGTGAGGACTATGTCGATATAAGGAAATCTTTGTTGGATAGAAGAACACTAGGAGTTTCAAAAGGAGACATGGGAAGAAGTCATGTCCCCAAAGTCCTCTATTTGGTACTGAGAAGCTACTCACTTCGGTATAAGGAGGGGGTGACAGACTTTCCAGAGGGAGGAGGCATTATCTGAGTTCAGACGAAAGATGTGCTGAGCAGGGGAAGAGACAGGTGACCTGGTTCAGGAGAGAAAACAAAACTTTGAAATATATTTAAGAATATAAAAAACTGGCCGGGTGCGGTGGCTCATGCCTATAATCCCAGCACTTTGGGAGGCCAAGGCGGGTGGATCACGAGGTCAGCAGTTCCAGACCAGCCTGGCTGAGATGATGAAACCCCGTCTCTACTAAAAATACAAAAAATTAGCCGGACTCAGTGCAGGTGCCTGTAATCCCAGCTACTCGGGAGGCTGAGGCGGGAGAATTGCTTGAATTTGGATGGCAGAGGTTGCAGTGAGCCAAGATCATGCCACTGCACTCCAGCCTGGGTGACAGAGTAAGACTCCGTCTCAGAAAAAAAAAAAAAAAAGGATATAAAAAACTGATAGTTTTGACCTAAAAACAGCAAAACTAGAAAGACCCAATGCCCAACTGGATGTGGCAGGAGCTGAGAGGGCGGGAGGGTGGGTTAGGGTGACATTGTCCCCAGGGAGCAGGGGGATGGGTGTGATGTGGGAGCCACCCCAAGCCGTCCGGTGCCTGGCCCTGGGGTGACCAGGTGAGGGAATCAATATTCCTGCAGGATAAGAGCCACATAAAGAAGGTAGTGGAGGGGGGAGCCTATAGGAGCAGTTAATTTGCTTGTGAAAGGCGTGTTTATCACCTCTAAGAATTAGCTGGCCCTGGGAGGAGCAGTCTTTCCCCAGCCAGAGAGGCCCCAGATGCCAGAGCACCAAGAACACAGAAATAAATAAAAACATGGGTAACGTATTTGTCTGTAGTCAAGTCACTGGTGGGTGGAAGCCATAGGCAAATGGTTTCCATTTGTGATAATGGAATTTCCACGAGAGAAAATGCACCACCAAACAGGGATTTGGAACATGAATGATAAGCGTGGAAACATTTTGCAGAGAGCAGGATCGTAAGCTGTCAAGAGACTTGCAGATCACAAGTATTACTATCTTAATGGACATCCATTCTCCCTCCAGGTATTCCAGACTTTATCCCCGCCAGAGGCAAGAACATCATAAAGACATCGACCTCCACTTCTGGAAGCCAGTACTGAGCTCTGGCTTGCCACACTGCCTTCCTCTTCCATTGAAGAGCCAGCAGGGACAGCAGCCTGTGTGAGCTCAGGGTTGTCACTGCAAGGTGGTTGCTACATGACTTACACAAAGACATTTTTCAGATTTCACTTTTCTTTTTCTCTCACGAGGAATCAGTTAGGTTTATGCTTCTTATCAATGCACATATTTAAACACATAGTATCCCTCATGGCCTTGGCTATCTGGCCTGGCCTGGCTATCTGAGCTATGCTCAGAAATAGCTTTGTACCAAGAGTAACTGTGTATGTCTACATGCCAACTTTGCCTTGCAATTGATCAGTTCTATGTTTTCTCTGGTTAATTGGACCATTGGACTACATTTAGACACACAGACCTTGAACCCCCCTACAGAAGCCATTGTAAAGCAAGGTGGTTGGTTCCTAAACAGATCACCTGAAACCTTCTCATTTTCTGTTGTTCTGGAAGGAGTGAGGAGGACAGGAAGGTGTCACAGAGCGGGGAGGAAGGAGAAGTGGAGTTGAGTGAGACCTGAATGGTCTTACCGCTCCTACATCGCATCCACATGCCTGAAACCCTGGACCCTGGGCCAGGTGAAGTCTTCCCTGGGGTGTACTCTTCCTTGGCCCTTGAGCCGAAGCAGGAGGGCCCCGTAGAGGCAGCACAGCCTGTCCACCCACAACGCTCATGAGTATGTGGACTCACATTTGTAGTTTTGCAGAGAGTTAATGTCAACTTTGTTGTCCATTGACTTATTAACAACTTATTTCTCCTTTGCACGGAAAAAATTCAGAGAATTGATAATATAGATTACAGTAGCCAAAGAATGAAACAACATGGTATAGAAAAAATAGCCTTATTGTTTGGCTGCATTCCCACTAGCGCTGTTGAGACTTGGGAGCACCAGGCAAGTCTCTGAAAAGGGGATGAGGAAGCCGAAAGCAAGCTGCATTTTGCTTGGCTCTAACTTCCTCTGGGTTTTCCCAGTGAATCTTTTGTTATGAAGTTTCTGGTCATTTACTGCGACAGAGAGAACAGCAGAGCCCTGAATTTTCCTCCTGGCCCTGTTGTCCACACATGGGCTATCTTAGATATATTATTCATTCTCAAGATGTCTTTCACCTTTCAAGCTCAGCACCTTTCTCCAGAAGCCTGCTCCTCTGTGCTGTGTTTCTGGCCTCAGTGAGTGAGGACAGTCACCCAGCCATCACGCGAGGAACTCAGCGGCCATCTGTGCCTTCATCTTCCTTGCAGTCAGAGGATCACTAAGTCTCACTGTTCTTCTTTAAAGCCCTCCCCATTTCTGCCCTGAATTACTGCAGCCGCCTCCCTGCTCTGCCATCCATCTGGGCATTACTGCCAGGGTAATCTTTCCGTATGTGAGTGCTGCTGATATTGGTTCTCCAAAAGGACTGCTGTGGCTCCTGTCTCCTTCGGGGTGAGATTCGAGCCATGGAGCAGCAGCTTCAGCATCCAGTCCATTTGTTGGGTCTCAGGTCCTCCAGTTTTCCTTGGATTCTCCTTCCTCACCAATCCACCGCACACTTCACTCCAACCACACAAAACACAGTTTTCAGAACAAGCCACACTGCTTCATGCCTCCCATCGGGGTCTCTCAATCTCCGTATTATTTATGCTCGGGGCTGGAGAGCTGTGTTGTAGGGGCCTGGCCTGTGTGCTGTAGGATGTTAGCAGCAAACCTGGCCTCTACCCACCACGTGCCAATAGCATACCCACCCCCCAGTTTTGATAACAAAACACCTTTGGACATTACCAAATGTGCCCTGAAAAATCATCCCCAGTTGAAAGCAGTTGCTCTTTGCTTTTACAAATGCTGGTCCTTTTACCTGGAATAACCTTCCCTTCATACTGAACTCCTACCCAGTCATCTCTTCGAAACTTCAACCCAGTCATCTTCAAAGCTTCAAAAGTCAACCCAGTCATCTCTTCTTCTCTGGTGACCTCCTTGCTCAGGCACAGCCAGAGCTAATCCTTATTTTCCTGGTGAAGCCAGCATTCTTTGTAATACCTCTAAAATCAAGCTCATCTCACTATACTGGAGTCTTTTGCTTGCAAGTGTCTTTCTTTGCACTGGCCTATGAGTGTCCAGGAGAAATGGCAGAGATCATGGCTTCTTTGTGCCCTCCTTGTCTGGGGTAGATCCTAGCAAGGCACACACCTGGGGAAAGTTTGTTCAAAGAAGGAACTGAATTCATCTTATTCTCTCATGTTAATGGCAATTAAAACATGTTCCTTTATGGTGATGTTGACACCAATATTTTGTGTTTACTAAGATAAACTCTAAACCAAAACTGGAGCCTAATTTTGCTTCTGAGGTTCTGATTTAGAATGCTAAAAGGAAACAGGTGTGAAAGCTAAGCACTTATTCTACAGGTGGGAATGTCAATGATGGGGAACAAAATCAAAATTCCTTATGGAGCCCAACCAAGCCGTCGTTTCTTCTCATCATAAAACTGATCTTAGCGGCATTTATTTAGGGTCTAATATATGTCATGCTATACTAAGATTTAATGAGATCACTATCTGATTTCCCAAATCTTTCTGAAACAAATAGATTAGCAAATTCTACCATAAACTTACACAAATTGGCATCAACTTTTGAAAAGCTGGCATTTGCACATAAATTACTATTTCATGATGACTCTATGTACAACAGATGTCTGATGTATTCTCCCAGCTCTAGAATAGTCAATAGAGGAATAAGAATATCAAAATTATTAAGCAAATCCAGAAAGTGAAATTTTTACCCAGGCAACTGGTCTTATCCCTTCAAAAATCGATGTAAATCACTAGACAAGGAAAACACGTTACCAAACACTAAAGAATTAATCCTGGAAAAGGGAAACATACAGGTAAATATAAAATACTTTTATCTTGCTTTTCATAATTTTTTATGAAATAATTTACAGTTTAAGCAAAAATAACAAAGCATGATGGTGTTTAGGACGTATGTAGAAACAAACTGTATGAAAGTATGGCTGTGGCATGTCATTGAAACATATACATATATGTTTTCATCCACAGTTCCTTGTTCATAACTCTCATAGCCCTTGTGACAGTAAACAGAATCTCTCTCTCACACCTTCTCCTGCCCTTCTTTCCCCTGCCCATGGCTGGATTCTGTGGGTCATGAGACCCTCATTCCAAAGAGGGTTTTGTCTCATAACCTGGAGGAAGGAAGGCTACACAGAGAGGCCAAGAAGAATCTGAACACACAGGCCTTGCTGGGTTTAGAACCCATTTTGTCCAATCACATTTCCACAGTCACCCATGCTTCAATCAGGCCTATCCAACAAATTCCCCATATAAAGACCCAAGAGGACAGGGTTTGGAAGCTTCTGGAGAGCTGAACACATGAAGGGTGACTAAAAGGTGAAGAACTCATTCACGTGCTGAGAGGGTGGTGCTCCCTGAATCCACATGGACACAAGCTCCTGCACCTGGGACCCTTCAAAATCTTCCAGACCTCATCCTGTGTGTATCTCTTCATATGGCTGTCCATCCGTATCCTTTAAAATGTCCTTCATAATAAACTGGTAAACAACATAAGCATTTCCCTGAGTTCTGTGAGCCACTCCAGCAAATTAATCAAACCCATAGAGGGGATTGTGGGAAGCCCAGCTTGAAGCCAGTTGATTAGAAATTCCAGAAGCCTGGACTTATGACTGGTGTCTGGGGGTGGGGAAGTGGCAGCCTTGCAGAACGGGCCCTCTCTTTGTGGGATCTGATGCCAGCTCTGGGTAGATAGAGTTGGAATTGAACTGGAGGACGTCCAGCTGGTGCCCACTGCAGAGGTGACTGCCTGCTTGCTGGTGAGGAGAAAGCCCCCACATACTCAGGGTCTCAGAAGTCTGCTGTGTAGATTGCTGTTGTGTTGGTGTGGACGCAGAGGAGAAACAGTTCGGGTTTTTCCTAAGAATGACAGTAGCACAAAAGATGGGAGGAGGAGATAGAAATATATTGTTGCAAGGTTTTTACAATATACGTGAATGGGTATCATATTATATGAAATTAAATGGTGATAAGTTTAAATTGCAAAATATAAATCCAGAGAATTCTTCTGGCCCTTATCCAAGACCATCAAGGCAGTACTTCTCTGAGTCTGCAAGAATCACAGTGTTACTGGGTTTGGGGTGCCCCCTAATACAGATATGGCTTAGACTGCAACACCCAAGTCCCTTGGAATACCTGGAAAGCTTTCCCAGAAAGGATGGGTACAAACAAGCCCAACTGCAAAGATGACACTGCCTAACTCTTCAATGCCCAGACACTACCAAACATCCACAAGCATCAAGACTCTCCAGGAAAATATGGCCTCGTCAAATAAATAAGTCACCAGGAGCCAATTCCAGAAAGACAGAGGTATGTGATCTTTCAGAGAATTCAAAATAGCTGTTTTGAGGAAACTCAATGAAATTCAATATAACACAGGGAAGCAATTTAGGATCCTAGCAAACACATTTAACAAAGAGATTGAAATAATTTTTAAAAATCAAGCAGAAATTCTGGAGTTAAAAAATGCAACTGACATACTAAAGAATGCATCTGAATCTCTTAATAGCAGAATTGATCATGAAGAAGAAGGAATTAGTGAGCTTGGGGCCAGGCCTGGTGACTCACGCATGTAATACCAGCATTTTGGGAGGCTGAGGCTAGCAGATCACCTGAGGTCAGGAGTTCAAGACTTCCCTGGCCAACATGGTGAAACCTCATCTCTACTACAAATACAAAAATTAGCCAGGTATGGTGATGGGCACCTGTAATCCCAGGTACTAGGGAGGCTGAAACACGAGAATCACTTGAACCCAGATGGCGGACGTTGCAGTGAGCTGAGATTGGGCCACTGTTCTCTAGCCTGGGTGACAGAGCAAGACTTTGTCTTTAGAAAAAAAAAAAAAAGATTTAGTGACCTTGAAGACAGGCTAATTGAAAATACCTCCTAGTCAAAGGAGACAAAAGGAAAAAAATGAAATAGAATGAAGCAGGCCTAGAAGATCTAGAAAATACCCTTCAAGTGGCAAATCCAAGAGTTATTGGCCTTACAAGGAGGTAGAGAGAGATAGGGGTCCAAAGTTTATACAAAGGGAAATTTCTTACAACTGCATGTGAAATGAATCTATAATTATACACACAATTTTAGTTGTAAAAAACTAGATAAAATAGTCTTTTTGAACAGACATTTCACAAAAGAAGATAAAAAAAGGCCAATAAGCACATGAAAGATTCTCAGCATAATTAGTTCTCTGGAAATGCAAATTAAAATCATAATGAGATACTACTACATACCCATTAACATAGCCAAAATTACCCAAATAACCACCCAGAAAAATACCAAATATTGGCAAGCATACATTTCTGTATGAGAGAAGCAAGGATGTCATATATTTAATGGAAACTATCACACATTCCTGGTGGAAATATAATGCAATGAGTTTTATTATCATTCTATTTATACATTTTTAAAAAAGGGAGCAACGGCAGGTCATTTACTTATAAAAGTCTCAAAATCATTCTACCGGTGACTTCCTTTCATAAATAACCACTCTCTATAAAACACTTGCCAAGAAACACATGGATCCTACAAGGGTCGGGTGTTACTCTTATCAATCATTATTGATAAACAATTATGATGAGGGGACCCAAAGAAGGCGATGTACCCGCTGTGGCACCGGTGGCCACAAGGTGGCGTGAATGTCGAGCGGCTGCCCCAGCCACCTAGAAAGAGATTGGAGCAGCCAGGCTTCCAGAAGCAGAGGAGGCCTCACAGAGGGCACCGAGACTAGACAGGAACCTCTCACCTTGTGAATTTCCCTAAAGAGGGGTCTTCCTAGATAAGCTTTGAAGGAAGACCCAGTACCTACACAGTAAGGCACAAGTTACTGTGAAGAAATCTACGTCAAACTAGATGAGGCCTATGTTACCTTAACTACGGCCTCATTTACCCTACCTAGGACCTGATGGGGCTTAAATTATCCTACACCCACATTATTCTAGATCAGGGTTTCTTAGCCCTCTCATTATTGACAGTTTGGGCTGGAGAATTCTTTGACTCCTCGGTTTGGGGAGCCTCTGCCCACCTGCCCAACTGTGGCAAACAAATTCATCTCCAGTCCTTGCCCATGACCCTTACTGGGCAAAATTGCTCACAGTTGAGAGCCACTGCCCCAAATAAGGCTTAAATTACTAGTAAGGCTGATATTACACCAAAACCAGTCTCCATTTTCTTAGATCAATGGTTCTTAAACTAGAGCCTGCAAAGAATCCCCGAAGGAGCTTGTGAAGCTGCCTACACCTGAGCCTTCCCCCGGAGTTCCTGGTTTCTGTGTCTAACCTATTTCTAGATGATGTAGATGCTGTCGATGCAAGGACCTCACTTTGAGAAGCACTGTCCCAGATGGTGACTACATTACCCATACGCACATTTCTCTAAAGCCTCCATTTCCCTAGGACCACCTTATCCTAATTGAGGCTTACAACAGACTTGAGGTGTTCATGTTACTATTTTTATTATTAAGGTAAAACCAGGAAATTTTCATAGAAAAGAATTCAAAAGCTTCTGAACAAGGTATTATATGCATAGAAATACCTCAACATAACATAGATGCTGGGAAACAAAGGCATTGTCAGCCTTGGGCATGAGGAAGGGCAGGGTGCAGGCAGGGCACAGGCAGGGCTGCTGGCTTCAGCCCTGGGTCTTCTTTGAAGATGGAAAAGGAAAACAATAGAAGACATCAGTTTAAACAAATACTTCAGTAATTTTCATGTTGAAATTAGAAGAGCTTCTGTTGCACTTTGGGAATTGCTACTTTATTTTGACTCTAGATATGAATAAGCAAATAGCATGCTACTGCAATCAACTTTGACAAAGACAAAATTGTACTGGTGACTTTTTCAAGGGCAGCTTATGGAAGACGTCCGATTACAAACTTGGTGAATGGCGAAGAATATTCATCCCTCACAGATTTTTTAAAATTATCTTGGTTTTTAGTAAAAATCACGTTGTCTTTAACAGCCACAGACACCAAAGAAGTTCCACCACATCATTTTTTCATATGATTACGGCTCATTTATAAGAATTTCTACTATTTCAAAGTGTATTTATTTGTAACTCAAAAGAAGATCAGTCTATTTTTCTGCCTACTCGGCTGTAGAATACCACCCTCTACTAATGGCTCATTGACTCAAGGTTACCTTAAAGGAAACCAGACCCAGGGTCAAGAAGGAATCAAGCCCTGTGCATACTCAGTGCTATTCATGTGTTCACAGAATGATTATGGGACAGACATTGCACGTGGGCATTTGTTTCATATTTGCATCACGTGGAGGTTTACATAGCAAATATTAACTATTCCAGGCCAGGCCTGATGGCTCACGCCTGTAATCCCAGCGCATTGGGATGCAGAGGCGGGTGGATCACCTGAGGTCAGGAGTTCGAAACCAGCCTGGCCAGCATGGTGAAACCCCATCTCTACTAAAAATACAAAGTGAGCCGGGTGTGACACCACACACTTGTAATCCCAGCTGGCTCACAGAGCATTTTTCTCCAAGCATCTCAAGCCCAGTATGAAGTGGATGTGTCCTGGCTCAGAATGTTCCCTCAGTGACAGCAATTGCTTCTCACACCACCTCTTACAATAGGAATAGGCCTTAGAAAACCCAGCAATCTATTGGGATACTTCAGCGCAGCAAGCAAGGAATCACTAAAGCCACCAGGAGGCCCCTCCCCTGGAGCTCCATATGCACTGATACCTCCAGACACATGGCAAGTGCAGGAACTGATGGGGACTTTGGGGCAGCCTCTTTTTTTTAGGATTCTGTGGTTGAAGATTATATCAGATTAGAACTTTATGCACAGACCCTGTTTCTCAAAGCCCCTGCCCCCACACTCACAGTGGAATATTTGCACAGTAACAAACCTCAAATTTGCCCTCCTTCCTAGTGTCTTGCCAATGAAAAGTGCTTCCGACTCTGACCCTAGTCCTGCTTATGTTTGTTGTTTTGTTGTTTGTTTTTTCCAAGCAGAGCTAAAGCAAGCTCAGTACTATTGGAGATTTGGAAAGTGCCTTCACATTCTTTGCCAATTCTCACCTGAGAGCCCTGCAGACGCCCCACGAGAGGAAAATCTAAGGTCATTGAGGGAGGGGCCGTGATCTTGGTCCTGAAGCTGTTGCTTTCAGAGGCTTTAAATCACTTCACTGTACTTGACTTGTTCTCTCCCATTGCCTTTGGTTTCCCTAAGTTCTAGTCCTTAGACAGAGCATGTGCCTTGCAAAACTTTTCTCTTTAATCCATCTTAATCCTAGTGAGCAGGTGATATGGTGGGCAGGGGAGCAGTATATGTTCAATGATTTCTTGCTGTGCTTTCTTTAGGCTGTACCCTTTACAAGGAGTCTCCAGTCATACAGCTGATTTTCCTCTGTCCTCTACTCCACCTCCTGGCTGTAGCATACACAGATTATTGTCTTGAATCTGACCCCAGTTGTTTATTAATTATACCCCTTTTCATGACACGGGAAGGCTAAGATGAAGCTGTCTGGGATGGAAAAGAATCCCTTCCTCTCACATAGAATAAAGATCTTGAAAAGTATTTTTTCTTTGTAGGGTCTGTCTGGAGAAAGTTCTGGGCATATTTATCAGAAAATAGTTCTCCTGATGACAGAGCCATGAGGGCATCTGTTTGAATTCTCGTCTTGAGAACCCAGAAGCTTTTGGAGGGAAATTCCATAAAAGTGTGAGGTGTGTGGCCCCCAGTTCTTACCCTACCCTTTCCCTGCTTCTCCTCCAGGCATTTATGGAATTACCATGTAACTCTTCGCACCAGCTTGTGCTTTCAATGGAAGAATCACCCAATCTATCAATTTAGAAAGGAGATTTTATTTCTGAAAAAGGGTTGGAGCTGCAGGACGGCCATCTTAACAGGCTGGAAAGCAAAGCCTCCCACAGAGACTGTGAGCAGGCACTTCAAGAGAGGGAAAGACAAGAAATGAATTCATGCGAATGGATTGGCCAAGCGTACACACTCAGCAGGCTATAGAAGGACCTATTGATAGTCACATGACAGGCAGGCTCTCATGTGTAATAAGCAAACACAAACGTTACATGCATTTCATATTTGCTTTTGGGTGAGGACATGAGAACTAGACGAATTACAATCTGGCTCTGTACACGAAAACGGCTTTGTGCAGGGGCAGAAAGACACACAGTGCACAGCCTCCGGAAATTGGCCAGGACAAGTCCATGGTCAGTCTCAGCTCTTTTTCCTCAACTTCAGTTCTACCTGGTTCCACTTCAGCACTGTGCCTGGAAACTCCCTTAAGGAAGCATCTGAGCGTGCATTCATCAGAGGACTCCTTTTGTTTATTTCCCACCTCTCAGCAATTACTGTCCTTGTTACCTGTTGTCACACATCATAAAATTGAATTTAAGAAATTTCACTATGTTTTACAAGTATTTCTGGTGGAAAGATACATCTGGTCTCTGTTGTCAAACCTAGTTTGAAAGTGATCATCTTGCACAAAAAATATTAGAATTAATTTTATGATGTTCACCAAGATTTATCTTGGAATGTATACAAATATTCAACCTTAAATTTCAAGGTATCACAAAATTTTGTTACATATATATATATACTCTATATATAGTGTTTATTTTGTCTTACATATATATTAATTATACCAATAGAATTATATAGTGTTATTTTGTTTTATATATATATAAACATTATATATAGTGTTTGGTATATATATAGTGTTTATTATATATAATATATATAGTGTTTATTTTGTTATATATATAAACACTATATATAGTGTTTGGTATATATAGTGTTTATTTTATTATATATAATATATATATAGTGTTTATTTTGTTATATATATATAAACACTATATATAGTGTTTGGTAGAATATCATACCTAATTTTAAAATATTCAAAATATCTATATCTGTCACATAAGTAAAGCACAAGCTCTACATTGCCCTAATAGAAGAGCTTCCTATTTGTCTTTCTCCCACAATGTCAGGGGATGAAAGCAGGTGGTCCCCACTGAGAGTACTTCCTGGATTAGATCCTTGGAATGTCAGTTTCCTGCCTGATCATCTCATTTTCATTCCTCAAATCAGAACATGAATTCCATCTTGAGTTAACTTCTCCTCCAGAGTATGAAAGCATCATTCCTGCTGCTTCTCCTCTAGGCTGATTCAACAGGATGTGCTTCATCTTTTGCACTGTGAAGATATTCTTTGGGGTCAAAAGCCCCTTCCTGGCTATCTGGTTGTCTGGCGATGCGCTCATTATTGTCCCTAGAACCTTCCTGTATCCTGGTCCCTGGAGTATGCTCTTGGCCTGGGGGTTCAGTTCCTTCCTGAAACATGATGTTTTGCTCAGCTCCAGCATGAGGCTGTAGAACTGGCTCAGTTCCTAATCCTGGAAGCTGGGAGGAGTTTTTCAGGTGGTAGTGGCACAGAGGGCAGGTCTCCTGGACATACAGCCATTTCTTAAGACAGCCTGCATGGAAAAAATGAACGCAAGGCGTGATCACAGCAGATTTCATGTCCCAAACAGATTCTTATCGAAGGAGTTACCTGATAACAGATGGCACAAATATCATTGTGTTTCTCAAGCTGCTCTTTCGTAGCAATGGGTAACGATTTAATCTTATTCACAGCATCCCTGTGGAGAAGAAAGCTCTTCCACCCCAGCTGGGCCTGAAGCCACACGTTATAGTAGGAATGAATGGATGATCATTGAGCCCATCACTGTCCATTCTCCAAAGATGGTCTCTGAGACGCAATAGGCCACCATACAGACGGCCGCAAGAAACTCCAGCAGGTGGTAAGTGCCATTCACATAGTAGATGACATCATCCATGTTTTCCACCGGCTCTTTTCTGAATTCCTCAACCATAAATCAGACATAAATAAAAAGTGTTCCCAGAACCTGAAGAGAGGTAAGAATGCTGCTGGAAATAATGATAAGAAGCCAAAAATCCAGGTGGAAAAACTGGCAAATCATATAAGCCATATGAGCAGGGAATACCAATAAAAATAAACAAAGTCGCACAGCACGGAAGTGTTTCCACAAGCTCTTGTCTCTGGATGCTCCCAGTGCCAAAACAATAGGATCTGCAATTTCTAACATAGACTGTAGGATAGAAGCTGCAACAATGAAAAGGATAATACTGAGCAGGAATGCCCGATGAACAACCTGCAGTTCTATCAGCCCAGTCTGCACTGCCAGGATTAACAGCGTTACTCCTTCTGTCATGCTCCAATTCATGGCAGGATCATTCCTGAAAGCTCGATAACCCTGCAAGTAAAACTCGCAGAGTGTGAGAACACCCAAGGCAACAAAAGAAACCGTGAAGACCAAACCCAAAAGAGAGTAAGGAGTGCTGCAGCATTCTGCAATACTTGTCAGAAAAAGGAAAAGAAGCCTCTCACGTGATGCCGGCTGATCTCGAGTACTGAAATAGGAGTAAATCTGAAGAGCAAATAAGATGAGCCAGAAAACCATGAAAAGAACAGGGACTACCAGTTGATTCCACAAGGACATTCCCAAGGTGAGAAGGCCATATACCTCCACTACCTGAACCAATTCTCTGTATGCAGATTTAGCAAGGTTATAAGGTAGCAAAAGATTAGACCCAAGAAAATAGAGAACTTCCAATCCAGTAAAAATCATAGCAAATTTATTGATGATAACAATTGTCTCCAAAGGAACCAGGCAGAGTCGTGCTAGCAGAGGAAGCACGTGAGCTGAAAACAGCCAAATCTGCTTTGTTTTCATGACACAGGAGCATAAAGTACACACCACCAACTGACCTATTAAGGCTGTGGTAAACCGATTCATAGAGAGAGGTTCTAAATACATTGGTCCCTCATAGGCAAACCGCAGTTCACTCCGAACGTAGTCCCTGGAAATTTGATGTCCAGTATAGAAAAGCAGAGCAGTCAAAAAATATAGATAAAGCTGAACCAGATGTTGCCTGGGCAATGTTAGCAGCACCACACTTAAGATATAACCTCAGGCTGTGGACTCCCTCCCTGGGGAGCGGTGCTGCCGGCGGCGGGCGGGCTCCGCAACTCCCCGGCTCTCTCGCCCGCCCTCCCGTTCTCCTCGGGCGGCGGCGGGGGCCGGGACTGCGCCGCTCACAGCGGCGGCTCTTCTGCGCCCGGCCTCGGAGGCAGTGGCGGTGGCGGCCATGGCCTCCTGCGTTCGCCGATGTCAGCATTTCGAACTGAGGGTCATCTCATTGGGACTGGTTAGACAGTGGGTGCAGCCCACGGAGGGCGAGTTGAAGCAGGGTGGGGTGTCACCTCCCCCAGGAAGTCCAGTGGGTCAGGGAACTCCCTCCCCTAGCCAAGGGAGGCCGTGAGGGACTGTGCCCGGTGAGAGACTGTGCCCTGAGGAAAGGTGCACTCTGGCCCAGATACTACACTTTTCCCACGGTCTTCAAAACCCGCAGACCAGGAGATTCCCTCGGGTTCCTACACCACCAGGACCCTGGGTTTCAACCACAAAACCGGGCCATTTGGGCAGACACCAAGCTAGCTGCAAGAGTTGTTTTTTTTTTTTTATACTCCTGTGGCACCTGGAACGCCAGCGAGAGAGCACCTTTCACTCCCCTGGAAAGGGGGCTGAAGGCAGGGAGCCAAGTGGTCTAGCTCAATGGATCCCCCCCTACAGAGCCCAGCAAGCTAAAATCCACTGGCTTGAGATTCTTGCTGCCCGGACAGCAGTCTGAAGTTGACCTGGGATGCTCGAGCTTGGTGGGCGGATGGGCGTTTGCCATTACTGAGGCTTGAGAAGGCAGTTTTCCCCTCACAGTGTAAACAGAGTCACCTGGAAGTTCAAACTGGCCGGAGCCCACCACAGCTCAGCAAAGCTGCTGTAGCTAGACTGCCTTTCTAGATTCCTCCTCGCTATGCAGGGCATCTCGGAAAAAAAGGCAACTGTCCCAGTCAGGGGCTTATAGATAAAACCCCCATCTCCCTGGGACAGAGCACTTGGGGGAAGGGGTGGCTGTGGACACAGCTTCAGCAGACTTAAACATTCCTGCCTGCTGGCTCTGAAGAGATGAGCAGATCTCCCAACACAGCGGTCCACGCTGCTAAGGGACAGACCGCCTCTTCCAGTGGGTCCCTGGCCCCCATGCCTCCTGACTGGGAGACACCTCCCAACAGGGGTTGACAGACTCCTCATACAGGAGTGCTCCAGCAGGCATCTGGCAGGTGCCCCTCTAGGACGAATCAGAAGAAGAAGCAGGCAGCAATCTTTGCTGTTCTGCAGTCTCTGCTGGTGATACCCAGGCAAATAGGATCTAGAGTGGATCTCCAGCAAACTCAGCAGACCTGCAGCTGAGAGGCCTGACTTTTAGAAGGAAAACTAACAAACAGAAAGGAATAGTATCAACATCAACAAAAAGGACGTCCACACAGAAACCCCATCTGAAGGTCACCAACATCAAAGACCAAAGGTAGATAAATCCACAAAGATGAGGATAAACCAGTTCAAAAGGGCTTAAAATTCCCAAAACCAGAACACCTCTTCTCCTCTAAAGGATCACAACTCCTCATCAGCAAGGGGAACAAAACTGGACGGAAAATGAGTTTGACGAACTGACAGAAGGAGGCATCAGAAGGTGGGTAATAACAAACTCCTCTGAGGCAAAGGAGCGTGTTCTAACCCAATGCAGGGAAGCTAAGAACCTTGAAAAAAGGTTAGACGAATTGCTAACTAGAATAACCAGTTTAAAGAAGAACATAAATTACCTGATGGAGCTGTAAAACACAGCACAACAACTTCGTGACGCATACACAAATATCAATAGTTGAATTGAACAAGTGGAAGAAAGGATATCAGAGATTCAAGACCAATTTAATGAAATAAAGTGTGAACACAAGATTAGAGAAAAAAGAATGAAAGGAATGAACAAAGCCTCCAAGAAATATTGGAGTATGTGATAAGACCAAACCTTCGTTTGACTGGTGTACCTGAAAGTGATGGGGAGAATGGAACCAAGTTGGAAAACACTCTTCAGGATATTATCCAGGAGAACTTTCCCAACCTAGCAAGACAGGCCAACATTCAAATTCAGGAAATACAGAGATACTCCTCGGGAAGAGCAACTGCAAGACACATAATCTTCAGATTCACCAAGGTTGAAATGAATGAAAAAATGTTAAGGGCAGCCAGAGAGAAAGGTCGGTTTACCCGTAAAGGGAAGCCCATCAGACTATCAGCAGATCTCTCTGCAGAAACCCTACAAGCCAGAAGAGAGTGGGGGCCAATATTCAATATTCTTAAAGAAAAGAATTTTCAACCCAGAATTTCATATCCAGCCAAACTAAACTTCATAAGCAAAGGATAAATAAAAACCTTTACAGACAAGCAAATACTGAGATTTTTTGCACCACCAGGCCTGCCTTACAAGAGCTTCTGAGGGAAGCACTAAATATGGAAAGGAAAAACCAGTACCAGCCACTGCAAAAACATACCAAATTGTAAAGATCATCAACAGTATGAAGAAACTACATCAACTAATGGGCACAACAATCAGCTAACATCATAATGACAGGATCAAATTTATACATAACAATGTTAACCTTAAATGTAAACAGGCTAAATGCCCCAATTAAAACACAGAGACTGACAAATTAGATCAAGACTCAAGACCCATTGGTGTGCTGTAGTCAGGAGACGCATCTCATGTGCAAAGACTCACCAAGGTCTCAAAATAAAGGGATGCAGGAATATTTACCAATCAAATGGAAAGAAAAAAAAATAGTGGTTGCACCCCTAGTGTGTTATAAAACAGACTTTAAACCAACAAACATCAAAAAAGACAAAGAAGAGGATTACCTAATGGTAAAGGTATCAATGCAACGAGAAGAGCTAACTATCCTAAATATATATTCACCCAATACAGGAGCACCCAGATTCATAAAGCAAGTTCTTAGAGACCTACAAAGAGACTTAGACTCCCGCACAATAATAGCTGGAGACTTTAACACCTCACTGTCAATATTTGACAGATCAATGAGACAGAAAATTAACAAGGATATTCAGAACTTGAACTCAGCTCTGGACCAAGTGGATCTAATGGACATCTACATAAATCTCCACCCCAAATCAACAGAATATACATTCTTCTCAGCACCACATCACACTTATTCTAAAACTGACCATATTATTGGAAGTAAAACACTCTTCAGCAAATACAAAAGAATGGAAATCAGAACAAACAGTCTCCCAGACCACAGTGCAATCAAATTAGAACTCAGGATTAAGAAACTCTTCAAAACTGCTCAAGTACATGAAAACTGAACAAGCTGCTCCTGAATGACTACTGGGTAAATAATGAAATTAAGGCAGAAATAAATAAGTTCTTTGAAACCAATGAGAACAAAGATACAATGTACCAGAATCTCTGGGACCCAGCTAAAGCAGTGTTTAGAGGGAAATTTATAGCACTAAATGCCCACAAGAGGAAGCATGAAAGATCTAAAATCAACACACTAACATCACAATTAAAGAACTAGAGAAGCGAGAGCAAACTAATTCAAAAGCTAGCAGAAGACAAGAAATAACTAAGATCAGAGCAGAACTGAAAGAGATAGAGACACAAAAATCCCTTCAAAAAATCAGTGAATCCAGTAGGTGATTTTTTGAAAAGATTAACAAAATAGATAGACTGCTAGCCAGACTAATAAAGAAGAAAAGAGAGAAGAATCAAATAGACACAATAAAAAATGAGGAAAGGCATATCGTCACTCATCCCACAGAAATACAAACTACCATTAGAGAATACTATAAGCACCTCTATACAAATAAACTAGAAAATCAGAGGAAATGGATAACTTCCTGGACACACACACCCTCCCAAAACTAAACCAGGAAGAGGTCGAATCTCTGAAGAGACCAATAACAAGTTCTGAAATTGAGGCAGTAATTAATTGCCTACCAACCAAAAAAAGCCCAGGTCAAGACAGATTCACAGATGAATTCTTCCAGAGGTACAAAGAGGTGCTGGTACCATTCCTTCTGAAACTATTCCAAACAACAGAAAAAGAGGGACTCCACCCTAACTCATTTTATGAAGCCAGCATCATCCTGATACCAAAACCTGTCAGAGACACAACATCAAAAAAATTTCAAGCCTATATCCCTGATAAACATTGATGCAAAAATCCTCAATAAAATACTGGCCAACCAAATCCAGCAGCACATAAAGAAGCTGATCCACCATGATCAAGTCGGCTTCATCCCTGGGATGCAAGGCTGGTTCAACATACACAAATCAATAAACATAATCCATCACATAAACAGAACCAATGGAAAAAAACACACAATTATCTCAATAGAAGCAGAAAAGGCCGTCAATAAAATTCAACACCACTTCATGCTAAAAACTTTCAATAAACTAGGTATTGATGGAACATATTTCAAAATAATAAGAGCTATTCATGACAAATCCACGGCCAATATCATACTGAATGGGCATAAACTGGAAGCATTCTCTTTGAAAACCAGCAAAAGACAAAGATGCCCTCCCTCACCACTCCTCCTATTCAACATAGTATTGGAAGCTCTGGCCAGAGCAATCAGGCCAGAGAAAGAAATAAAGGTATTCAAATAGAAAGAGAGGAAGTCAAATTATCTCTGTTTGCAGATGACATGATTGTATATTTAGAAAACCTCCTCCTCTCAGCCCAAAATCTCCTTAAGCTGATAAGCGACTTCAGCAAAGTCTCAGGATACAAAATCAATGTGCAAAAATCACAACAATTCCTATACACCAATAATAGACAACCAGAGAACCAAATAATGAGTGAACTCCCATTCACAATTGCTACAAAGAGAATAAAATACCTAGGAATACAACTTACAAGGGATGTGAAGGATCTCTTCAAGGAGAACTACAAACCACTGCCCAAGGAAATAAGAGAGGACACAAACAAATGGAAAAATATTTCATGGACATGGAAAGGAAGAATCAATATTGTAAAAACAGCCATACTGCCCAAAGTAATTTATGGATTTAATGCTATCCCCATCAAGCTACCATTGACTTTCTTCTCAGAATTAGAAAAAAAACTACTTTACATTTCATATGGAACCAAAAAAGAGACTGTAAAGCGAAGACAATCCTAAGCAAAAACAAACAAACAAACAAAGCTGGAGGCATCATGCTACCTGATTTCAAACTATACTATAAGGCTACAGTAACCAAAACAGCATGATGCTGACACCAAAACAGATATATAGACTAATGGAACAGAACAGGGGCCTCAGAAATAATGCCACACATCTAGAACATCTGATCTCTGACAAACCTGACAAAAACAAGCAATGGGGAAAGGATTTGCTATTTAATAAATGGTGTATGGAAAACTGGCTAGACATATGCAGAAAACTAAAACTGGACCCCTTCCTTACACTTTACACAAAAATTAACTCAAGATGGATTAAAGACTTAAATGTAAGACCTAAAACCATAAAAACCCTAGAAGAAAACCTAGGCAATACCATTCAGGACATAGGCATGGGCAAGGACTTCATGACTAAAACACCAAAAGCAATGGCAACAAAAGCCAAAATTGACAAATGGGATCTAATTAAACTAAAGAGCTTCTGCACAGCAAAAGAAACTGTCATTGGAGTGAACAGGCAACCTACAGAATGGGAGAAAATTTTTGCAATCTATCCATCTGACAAAGAGCTAATATCCAGAATCTCTAAGGAACTTAGACAAATTTAAAAGAAAAAAAACAAACAACGCCATCAAAAAGTGGGTGAAGGATATGAGCAGACACTTCTCAAAAGAAAACATTTATGAGACCAACAAACATATGAAAAAAAGGTCATCATCGCTGGTCATTAGAGAAATGCAAATCAAAACCACAGTGAGATAGCATCTCATGCCAGTTAGAATGGCAATCATTAAAAAGTCAGGAAACAACAGATGCTGGAGAGGATGTAGAGAAATAGGAATGCTTTTACACTATTGGTGGGAGGGTAAATTAGTTCAACCATTGTGGAAGACACTGTGGCAATTCCTCAAGGATCTAGGCCTAGAGATACCATTTGTCCCAGCAATCCCATTACTGGGTATATACCCAAAGGATGAACAATTAATCCACTATAAAGACACATGCACGTGTATGTTTATTGCAGCACCGTTGACAATAGCAAAGACTTGGAACCAACCCGAATGCCCATCAGTGATAGACTGGATAAAGAAAATATGTCACATATACATTACGGAATACTATGCAGCCATAAAAAAGAATGAGTTCATGTTCTTTGCAAGGACATGGATGAATCTGGAAACCATCATCCTCAGCAAACTAACACAGGAACAGAAAACCAAACACTGCATGTTCTCCCTCATGAGGGAGAGTTGAACAATGAGAACACATGGACACAGGGAGGGGAACATCACACAACAGGGCCTGTTGGGGGGTGAGGGGCTAGGGGAGGAATAACATTAGGAGAAACACCTAATATAGATGACGGGTTGATGGGTGCAGCAAACCACCATGGCATATGTATAGCTATGTAACAAACCTGCACGTTCTGCACATGTATCCCATCACTTAAAGTATAATTAAAAAAGGTAACTTTGCAAAATATTTAGAGAGATTTATTCTGAGCCAAATGTGAGGACCATGCCCTGTGACACACCTTAGAAGACCTTGAGAACATGTGCCCAAAGTGGTTTGATTGCTCTTATATCTAATGTCTTAGAGAGACATTTGACATCAATCAATACATGTGAGATATGTGTTGATTTGGTCTATAAAGACAAAACAGCAAGAAGTGAGGCAGTGTGGGGAGGGGATTACAGCTTACAGGTGGATTCAAAGTTTTTCTTATTGGCAATTGATTAAAAGACTTAAGGTTTTATCTAAAGACCTGAAATCAGTTGAAAAAGTTTCTAGATTTAGAGAGCGGGCTTTGGAGAACAATATTCTTATTATGCAGATGAAGTCTCTTATGTGGCCACCCTTAGAGGCAATAGATGGCAAGTGTTTTCTATTAAGACCTTTAAAAGATGCTAGACTCTCAGTTAATCTCCTCCATATAACAAAAACACCTGGAAAGGTAAAGCGATTCTCTACAGAATGTAAATTTCTCTCACAAAATATAACTGTGCAGGGCAATTTAAAATATGTCAAAAATATACTTTAGGGCAAAAGACTTTGATTCCTCTCAAGGCCTGCTGTCATGTGATGCTATTCTTGAGTCAGGTTAGAATTTGGTATCTTACTGCTACAAAGAATCTGTTTTCTGAGCCTTAAGATCTGTTTGAATGAAAATGCTGGTTAGTTGTGCTTGAATTCCAAAGGCAGGAGTGCATAATGAGGCATTTCTGATCCTTTCTTGCTAACATGGCCTAAACTAGCTTTTCAAGTATCTCTGGAACTCCTTTTTGAAGAGGAAGGGTCCATTCAGCCAGTTGGGTTGCTTAGAATTCTATTTTTAGTTTATAGGACATATATGAGACTTATCCTAATCAGGGGTATCAGAAAATATTCATTGAGGTAATCACTTTAAAGTTGAGACATGAAAGATGGTCCCAGATTCCTCCCTGCAAACCTTCTCTCCTGATACTAGAAGAAAAGTTACAAGAAACAAATGTTAACATTTCTTCTGTGTTCAAAATTGCCCCCCATTAGGAAAATAATTAAACTTGCAAGACTTATCTTTAGAAACAAGTAATCTAGTTGATTTCTAAAGTCCTTTTACAAACCCACAGATTCTGATTAGTTTACAGATTACATAGAGCATCCCATCTAATGGGAATCTGCAATTAGCTGGATTCCCCTGCATTTGATTTTTAAATGTTGAATTTATACAGATACATAACAGTTCAAAACCTTTATGTGGTACATGTGATATTTTGATAAAATAATATGTGCAGTGATCAAACCTGGATAACCGGGATATCCTTCATCTCAATCATTGATTATTTCTTTGTGTTAAGGACATTCTAAATTTTCTCTTCTAGCTATTTTCAAATATACAATAAATTATTAACTGTAGTTGTCTATGTACCATTTTAGCATTCCCAACAGCAGTAAGTGAAAGTTCCTGATTTTCAGCTTTCTCTTCACCATTTGGTATTGTCTATATTGTTTATTTTACCCATTTTAGCAGGTTAGCAGTATTTTTTGAATATTAAATGTACATTTACCTAATAAAAATCAAACTGATCACTTTTTATCTTTACTTTTAGATGTGGTTTCTCTTCAGGTCTTTGCCCATTTTAAAAATAAATTTTGTGGTTTTGTTTTTGTTCAATTATAAGTCAATTTATATATTTGTGATAAAAGCCCTTTTCCAAATATTGGATTTGCAAGCAAATTCTCCAAATCTATGGCTGATCTTTTCAGTCTCAGTTAAGGGTTTATTTTCAAATATCTAGGTTAGTTTGTCCATCTATGAAAAGAGGATAATCTTAATTCTAAATTCTTAGAATTATTAGAATAATAATGTAAGTTGAAATTATTCCAGTATCTGGCCCTTCACAAGTTTTAGTATAACACCAGTGAGAAAAATTTGCAGATTGTTCTGTGTAGACCAGAAATCAGAAGGTGATAAAGGGGCAATTAGATTTGAATAATCCGGAGATATGAAGTGTATTTGGTATTCACCTCCTTCTATTTCTCTATGAAGACAAAATGGATAGATGACCTCTCCATGTGAAATGGGACACATAAGTTTTTAAGATGATTCTGAAAGAAAGTTCCTTATACAATCACTCAGGTGATGTTCCAAACACAGGGCTGTGGAGGGGATGGTGGCTGCCGGTGGTTGCTGTCAGCCACAGGGTTGGTTTGTTTCCCACAGGTTCCAGAAATAGTTTCTAATAACAAATGTCATATTTTGTTTAGAATTGATTTATTTTTTATAATTTATTTTCTCCCTGTAGGCAGCACTCAGAAGTATGTTCTCAGAATAATTCCTGATCCTCTGTGAGTTCCTGGTGCAGCTCCTGGAGGCAAAGCCTGCATGGGGGAGGGAGTCCTCCTCACATGCAGCCCTGAGGCTGCCACGTCACTTCACCCACCGTTGCCCTTCAGTCACTTCCTGAACACTTATGAGTTGATCTTCCTGAAACATGTGGTATTTGGCAGTGTCTTTCCCAGGTAAGATAATACTTCCATTCTGTTTATCCCTGCAGGCACCTGTCCCTTTCTGGAATATAAATTGGTTTCGATTGTGTGGTAGTGGATAAGTGGGGGGAGGAGGTTTGTGTGCATCTTGTCATCTTCCAGAGTGCACCCCTCATGGGGTTGACAGTGACAAGCATGCAGATGGGCTTGCTCAGCTGGAAGATGACAGGCATTTTGGTAACCTGTGACCCCAGTGAGGCTCTCTCGCTGCAAGATCAATCAGGCTCAGGCCTCTGGCTAAAGTGCAGCCAGCAAGGGGTCCAGTGCCCAACCCTGAGAGCTCCTTCCAGGTACCAAACCACTTTCTAAGGGAAGCTTTTTTCCTGCCTGGATCCCATGCATGTGTTTGTATTTTCTTCACAAAGGCCTTTATCCAGAAACACCCCCCAAGAGCTTATAGTGTTTTGAATTCAACTGAAGGGCATTATTCATGAAAGCCCTCATGGCCAAAGTCTTCACTTCTCATTAAAGGACATTGATTATGGGATTCACCAGAAGCTGCTGGCCTTTCACAGGCACAGACCTTCCTCTACACCAGTGGTCCCCAACATTTTTGGCACCAGGGAACGGTTTCGTGGCAGACAATTTTTCCATGGATGATGGCGGTGAGTGATTATGGGATGAACTTACTCCACCTGCATTCATCAAGCATTAGATTCTCATAGGGAGCACTCAAACTAGGTCCTTTGCATGCCCAGTTCACAATAGAATTTGGATCCTAGGAGAATCTAGTGCACAGCTGATCTGACAAGAGGCGGAGCTCAGGCAGTGATGCTCACCCGCCGCTCACCTGCTGTGCTGCCTGGTTTCTAACAGGCTGCTGACCAGTTCTGGTTCACTGCCTAGGGGTTGGGGACCTCTGCTGTAAATGCTTGGAGACCTTACCCTCTGGGAAGGGGCATAGAAAAACAAGTCAGATGAGCTCCAAATCAATGTACATTTTATGGATTCTTGAGGAAAGAGTGCAAAGAGGAACGTCCCCACCCACTTTCCCTCTACCTGGCATCATTCCCAGTAATCCGCTTGAGGAACCCGGGGTGTTTCAAGATAGTTTAGGCTTGTTATACTAGGGGACGCCAGAAAAGGAAACAATTAATGTGTCCATGCGGGTTTGTCAGTTGCAAGTTATTACTTCAGTGCAGGGTATTGATCACGGAGAAGTCTGTGCGTATCTTGGGCAGGAATACATGGGAACTCTGTTTCTTCTACTCAAATTTGCTGTGATCCTAAAAGTGTTTTAAAATAAATGTAATGTAAAAAAAGTGGCAAAGACATTTTGGAAGAAATGTTGGCCACTTCTTAGAAATTATGTTTAGTCTTACCACGTGATAAAGCAATCCTGCTCCAAATGATTTATCCATTCGATTTTAAAATGTTATGTCCCCACAAGGCTTCCATGGGAGTGTTTGCATCAGCCTGATTGATTGCTGCCTTTCCCACTCTGTGAATTTTACTTACAGGGTGAAAGTTGAAAAGACTATTTCCTATATAATTAGAGTGTATACATCTTTCTATTGCTTCTTTTCCTCAATTACTTAACCCATTTTCTAAACACGTTTAAACCTCATAAATCCTGTCATCTTCTCACCCCCAGCACAGCTGCCTCCTTCCTCAAGGTTTCTGACACTCTCAGGATGTGGGTTTTCACACTGCGTGTCTTGCACATTAATATACGGCTGTGTCCTCAGATCTCAGGCTGCTCAGCTCCATGTAGGCTGTGTCTGTAGACGTGTCCCAGGTCGTGGTGACTCTGCCCTGGAATTCTGTGCATATATTGTTTCACCATCTTCAGGATCAACACGTTCCATCCACTCAAGCCCTTTTCCAGGGGCCTGTCGCCCCCAGTGTATGTAGTGGAAGGTGAAGGTGTATCTGGGATCACCTTCACTGAGGACCCAGGTTTCCTCACCTCAGCCCCAGACTGCACCGATTGGACCTGGGAATGGGCACCTGTGGAGAGGACAGAGAAGTGGTTGAGACTCCACTTAACTGGACCCAGTCCCCTCATCAGCCCTGGAACTTAGGATTCTCTTCCCTGTGGCTGCTGCCACCAAGAGGAGGATCCTCCCGGTCCAGTCCATGGTGAGGTGCTGTGCTCTGGGGGCTTCTGTAGGGGAGGGATGTGGTTGTTGTGTGATGCTCTCTGGGCAAGGACAGATCTGTATGTACCTCGGTAGACAGCAGTGCATTTGCATATTCACGAGGCAGGTATTTCATAGCTCAAGCCACCTCAACCTGAGGAAGAAGATAGGTGACACACGGACCACGCCACAGTGGGATGCAGAGCTCCCTGCCCTGAACTTTGTTTAATGATATTTGCCCTCTGTTATGCTCAGAAGTCCATGAAGACAGAACTCGTTTTACAGAAAACCAGAATCTCCCAGGACATTGTCCTCAATGTCATTTCTTGTTCATATGGCACCCTGACAACCTGAACTTTTCCTGGGCCTTGACCTCTGCACATCTAAATTCTGGGATGAGTGTATCTTCCGACAGTAACACCCATTGAATTAATAAAACCACTCTTCAATTCCTAACTATAAATACATTTGAAAAGACCAGACATTTCTCCTTTTAAATGCTGTTTGCATTCAATTATTTGGTTAGGTATAGGCTACATATATAATAGAATACTTAAAGACACATCAGTACTTACTACATTCTTATTTAGATTTTAGGTTATTATTGCTTTGAAATAAAGAACATTCAATTCCTGAGAGAAAACCCCTCCCCAGCCTCCTGTGCACCTGCTCCAGGGCTGGATCCTGTGCTGGGTGCGCCCTGAGCGCCCCCTGCAGCTCAGCTCCTGCCCTGCAGGAAAGTTCCTGTCTGGGCTCATAGAGAATTCTCCTCCCAGCGTCTCAAGCACAGTATGAAGTGGCCTTGCCCTGACTCAGAATGCTCTTTCAATGGCAGCAATTGCTTCTCCCACCATCTCTTACAGTAGCAAATAGGCCTTAGAACACCCGACATAATCTACCGGGAGACCTCAGCACAGCAACAAGGAATCACTAAAGCCACCAGGGAGCCCCTTCCCTGGAGTTCTAGGTGCACTGATAGGGTCCGGACACATGGCAAGTCTAGGAACCGATGGGAACTTTGGGGCAGCCTCTATTTTTTTTTAGGATTCTGTGGTTGACGATCACATCAGATTGTAACTTTACACAAAGACCCTATGTCTCAAAGCACCCCCCCACACACACACACACATACACTCACAGTGGCACATTTGCACAGTAACGAGACTCAGATTTGCCCTCCTTCCAAGTGTCTCAATGAAAAGTGCTTCCAACACTGGCCATAGTCCTGCTTGTGTTTGTTGTTGTTATTTTTTCCAGACAGAGCTAAAGCAAGCTCAGTATTACTGGAGATTTGGGAAGTGCCTTCATGTTCTCTTTGCCAGTTCTCACCTGGGAACCCTGCAGATGCCCCATGAGAAGTAAATCTAAGGCCATTGAGGGAGAGGCTGTGACCTTGGTCCTGAAGCTGTTGTTCTCAGAGGCTTTGAATCACTTCACTGTCCTTGACTTGTTCTCTCCCACTGCCTTTGGTTTCCCTAAGTTGTAGTGTTTGGACAGAGTCTGTGCATTATCACACTTTTCTCTTTAATCCAGATTAATCCTATTGGTGAGGAGGGGAGGTAATGCAGTGGACAGGGGAGCAGTATATGTTCTGGAAATTGACTTCCAATGTTTTCTTGCTGTGTTTTCTCTAGGCTGCACCCTTTACAAGGAGTCTCCAGTGGTACAGCGGATTTTCCTCCATCCTCCACTCCCCTTCCTGGCTGCAGCATCCACAGATTATTTTCTTGAATCTGACCCCAGTTGTTTATTAATTATACCCCTTTTCATGACACGGGAAGGCTAAGATGAAGCTGTCTGGGATGGAAAAGAATCCCTTCCTCTCACATAGAATAAAGATCTTGAAAAGTATTTTGTCTCTGTAGCATCTGTTAGGAGAAAGTTCTGGGCATATTTATCACAGAATAGTTCTCCTGACGACAGAGCTACGAGTGATTCTGTTTGGACTCTCATCTTGAGAACCCAGAATTTTCTGGAGGGAAATTCCATGATAGTGTGGGGTGTGTGGCCCCCCAGGAGTTCTTACCCCATCCCTGTCTACACCTGTCCTCCAGACATTTATGGAATTACCATGTTTCCGCCAGCTTGTGCTGTCAACTGAAGAATCACCCAATTTATTGATTTAGAAAGGGGACTTTATTTCTGAGAAAGGATTGAAGCTGCAGGACGGCCATCTTAACAGGCTGGGAAGCAAAGCCTCCCACAGAGACATTGAGCAGGTACTTCAAGACAGGGAAAGACGAGAAATGAATTC